>NC_000006.12:2332727-2484242 GCF_000001405.40 Homo sapiens
TTTGAAGTTCAGGGGTACAAGTGCCAGTTCGTTACATAGGTAAACTGACAAACAGTAATTTTCTAAGGAGAAAATTCTACTTGTTGACATTGACAGTGGTTACACAGTTTGTAAACTCTTGTTAAAAGGCACTGATATGTATTATTAAAGTATGCAAGTATTGTTTTATGTGGTTTCCCAATAATATTGTTTAAAAAGTTAGAAAAAAAGTGGTCATTTTACTAATAGTGCCACTACGCATTTACCACTGGGTAGAGATATCTTTATCTTAGGCCTCAAAAAGTCTCCACAAATAAATTTTCATGGATAGTGCCTAGCACACAATTTAAAGAGTGTACATAGATTCACTGCATTATGGGCACAAAAAGAGAAAAAGGAAAAAGCAGAAACATCAGTTTGCAGAAATAAACTCGTAAGCACTTCAGGCAGTGAAAATGTCAGCCATGGATTGATCGTAAAACAATCAGGTTTGCTGTGTTTAAAGAAAAAAATATATGCAGGAATAGAACCCTATAAAAAGTGACCTACCAAATCTAAAAAAGAACCAAATGGAGTAATAAATGGAAAATAGAAAGACTAAACTTTAAAAATTTGTTGGATGTGTTTAACAAAAGATTAAATTCTACCACAGATAAAATTAGTTAACTGAAACATAGGGGAGAATGTTTCATCTAGCCTGTATTATTGAGACACAAAGAGATGCAAAATATAGAAGGAGGGTAAGAAGGTGAGGAGAATAAAGTGAGCTCTAACAAATAAGTGGAGTTCTAAAGAAAGAGAATGAGAGAGGCAATATTTGAGAAGATGAAATCTGAGAATTTTCTGGAATTAAAAATCAGAAATTCACAAATATGGGACGCACACTAAGTACAAAGACGTCCTCATCTAGCCTCAAATAAATATGATAAAATAACAAATACTAATAAAAATTATGCTAGCTAAAGGCAAGAGAAAATGTTTAAAGCAATTATTTTCAAAATATTATCAGAGAGTGAAAAGCAGACTTCTCAACAGCAACAATTTAAACAAGAAGACAATTTGCTGAAGGAAAATAGTTTCCAATCTTATATTCTGTAAGCAACAAAAAAATACCTTTTTCAAAAATGACCTTTAAAAAAGGCATTTTCAGATAAATGTCACTGTCAGCTGAGCATTACTAAATGAAATTTTAATGAATATACTTCTTGATGAGGCATGGTGGCTCATGTCTGTAATCCCAACACTTGCAGAGACTGAGGCAGGAGGTTTGCTTGAGGCCAGGAGTTTGAGATCAGCCTAGGAAACATAGTGACACCCTATATTAGTCCGTTTTCATACGGACTAATATAGGCATACCTGAGATTGGGCAATTTACAAAAGAAAGAGGATTAATGGACTCACAGTTCCACGTGGCTGGGGAGGGCTTACAATCATGGTGGAAGGTGAAAGGCATGTCTCACATGGTGGCAGACAAAAAAAGAGAATGAGACCCAAGCAAAAGGGGGTTCTCTTTATAAAACCATCAGATCTCATGAGACTTATTCACTACCATGATAACAGTATGAGGGAAACCACCCCCATGATTCAATTATCTCCCACCAGGTCCCTCCCACAACATGTGGGAATTGTGGGAGCTACAATTCAAGATGAGATTTGGGTGGGAACACAGCCAAACCATATCACACCCTGCCTCTTAAAAAAAAAATTAGCTGGGTGTGGTGGTGCATGCCTTTAGTCCTTGCTACTTGGGCTGCTGAGGCAGGAGGATTGCTTGAACCCAGGAGTTTGAGGCTGCAATGAGCTACGATTGTGCCACTACACTCCAACTTGGGTGATAGAGTGACATCCTGTTAAAAAAAAAAAAAAAAGAGTATACTTCAGGCAAAAGAAAATAATTCCAGTGGAAGACATAACATGCAAGAAAAAGTAAAGAGCAATGAAAGTGAGAAGTATCTAGATAATCCTAAAGGAAAAAGATGAACATTAATATTTAATAGGATTGAAAAAAAACAGAGTTAATACTCCAACAATAACATATAAATTAGGAAAAGGGCAAATGAAATTAAATTTTTTCTGAGGTCCATTCATTGTCTAGGAGGAGGATATCTTTAGATTTTGTTAAGTATGTAACCATAGAACTGGCTCAATCTAATTCATCTTTGTGTAATAAAATGGTGAATTGTTTTTCAATTGCTGTGAAACCTTAGAATGCAGGGCACATAACCTGAGCATGCCCAGATGAACCAAATGTGCCTTATTCATGACTCCAGATCCGGGCAGAACTAAAAAGTCTACCACAGGTGGAACCAAACCTCTCATATGAAGGAACAGGGACTGAATATGGCAGCAAGCCTGGGGATTACCTCATCTCATGCTCTAATTAGATAGTACCCTGGCATCACCTCATGGCATCATCCAATTAGATCACACCCCCAGGCGTTACCTCTTTGCAAGATCCAATTAGATCACACCTAATTACCCTTTTCCTGTAAAACCTGCCCAAGCCCCTGGCTTGGGGAGATTTTTTTGGGGAGATTTGAGCATTTTTTTGGGGAGATTTGAGCATTGTTTTCTGTCTTTTTGCCAGTTGATTCACAATAAAGTCTTTCTTTTCTCAAAAGCCTCTGCCATAACATTGGCTTCTGTAAACATCAGTCAGCAAGTCCATTGCTTGCTTAGTAATAGGTATTCATGTTTTTATTTCTAGGATAACCATTAAAAGAATAGTATCAGCAACAATCTCACTACTGGGTATCTACCCAGAGAAAAAGAAGTCATTATACGAAAAAGATACTTGCACACACGTATGTATAGTAGCACAGTTCGCAATTACAAAAATATGGAAACAGCCTAAATGCCCATCATTCAACGAGTGGATAAAGAAACTCTGGTATATTTATCCCATGGAATACTACTCAGTCATAAAAAGGAATAGAATAATGGCATTTGCAGCAACCTGGATGGAATTCAAGACTATTATTCTAAGTGAAGTAACTCAGGAATGGAAAGCCAAACATTGTATGTTATCACTCATAAGTGGGAGCTAAACTATGAGGATGGAAAGTCATAAGAATGACACAGGCCAGGTGTGGTGGTGCATGCCTGTAATTCCAGCACTTTGGGAGGCCGAGGCGGGTGGATCACTTGAGGTCAGGAGTTCGACACCAGCCTGGCCAACATGGTGAAACCCCATCTCTGTTTAAAAAAAAAAAAGAATAATACAATGGACTTAGGGGACTCAAGGGAAAGGGTGGGAAGGGGGTGAAGGATAAAAAAAACTACAAATTTGGCACAGTATATACTGTTCGGGTAATGGGTGCACAAAATCTCAGAAATCACCACTAAAGAACTCATTCATGCAACCAAATACCACCTATTCTCCAAATATTTATTGAAATAATAATTTTAAAAAGCCCCTTTCAATCATACTGGAGTCTGTGCTAATGAGGTGACTCTTGGAAGATGGGGTCTGGTGGCCAGAGGAGCCAATCATGTGATTTAAAAAAAAAAAAACTTGTTGCAGTTGAAATCTGAAAGCATATTGATTATTTTTTCATACCTTATTACATTAAAGTATATTGTTTTATCTTATAAAAAAGAATAGGATCAGATGATCTAATTTGAAATCAGTAGAGAAAAAAATGGAATGATAAAAAATATTACAAAAGGAGTAGGAGAAGAAAGAAACACTGAATAGCTATAACAAATATAAAGTCTAAAATATGCTAGATTTAAGCCCAAATATAAAATAATTATATTATATGCAAATGGCTTAAATATGTCAGCTAAAATACAAAGATTATCAGATTAGATAACAAGAACATCAAAACCATAAGAATACAATTATATGGTATCTACAAAAGGTACTTCCAAAATATAAGGTAGAGAAAGGTCTAAAATGAAAATAAGAAAAAAGATGTATTATTCACACTATAATTGAAAGAAGCTGGTATAGCTATTTAATAAACTAATGCTGGGGCCCGGCATGGTGGCTCTCGCCTGTAATCCCAGCACTTTGGGAGCTCAAGGCGGGTGGATCACTTGAGTTCAGGAGTTGGAGACCAGCCTGGCTAACATGATGAAACCCATCTCTATTAAAAATACAAAAATTAGCCAGGTGTGGTGATGCATGCTTGTAGTTCCAGCCACTTGTCTCAGAAAAAAAAAACAACAACCTAATTTTGGTATATTCATACAATGGAATACCATGCACCATAAAAATTGATTAACTGCAGTTGTACATAACAACATAAATGAATCTCACATATATAATGTTAGATGAAAGAAACAGGACACACACACACACACACATTCAGTGTGATTCTATTTACATATTTTTAAAACAGGCAAACTAAATTATATCACTTAGAAATGCATAAACAAATGGAAAATTTTAAGCAAGAAACTGAATTTTGCAAAAGTCATAATGGTTATTTCTGATTAGGGAAGGAAAAGATTATGATTAGAAGTGACACACTGGGGGCCTCTGTAGTGGTCACAGTATTAGCTTCATTAAATTTTGCATATATATGTGTATATATGTGTGTGTGTATATATACACACAATTTTGCATATATATGTATATATATACACACATATATGTGTACATACACACAATTTTACATATATGTGTGTGTGTATATATATACACACACTCACAAATGCCACTAGTGTGGATTATAGCTGAAGAAATGGATAACACACTACTTATTAATGTAGAACAAAGGCCAGTGCACCCCACCAAACTGATACCCCCAAACTCACTTATATGAATAAGTGTATGAAACCTATGAGGTTTCCCTATGAAACCTACTCCATAAAATTGCTGAAGGCAACTTTTCCATCAGATGTGTAAAATTAATGTAGGGATACATCAAACATTAGAAAGCAAGGAAAACAGTAATTCTCCATTAACAGTCCATAATTATAAGAAAATCTGTGAAAGGTGGAGAAAAATGTAAAATAATAGTCATAAGGAAACTCAGTGAGATACAATAAAATGCAGACGTACAAACTCAATAAAGTCAGGAAAGCAATTCATGGTTTGAATTGATTTGAATGAGAAATTCAACAAAGAGACAGATATCATAAAAAAGGTATCATAAAAAAGAACCAAACAGAAATCCTAGAGCTAAATAATTCAATGAATAAAACAAATGAAATTGATAGCTTCAACAAAAGACTAGATCAAGTAGAAGTAACAATTTCTAAACTGAAAGATAGGTCTTTTCAAACAACTCAGGAAGTAGAAGCAGCAGAAGCAGGAGGAGGAGAAGGAGGAAAAGAAGAAGAGGAAGAAGAAGAGGAGGAAGAGGAGGAGGAAGGAAAAGAAGAGGAAGAAGAAGGAGGAGGAGGAGAACAAGAAGAAGAAAAGGAAGAAGAAGAGGAGGAGGAAGAAGAAATAATGAAGCAAGGATATCAGATTTATAGGGCACTATTACACCAAGAAATATTCATATTATGGGTGTTCCAGAGGCAGAAGACATGGGAAAAGGTGAGAAAAACACATTTAATAAAAGAATAGCAGAAAACTTCGCAAGTTTTGAGAGAAAGGTGGACATCCAGGTCTAGGAAGCTCAAAGAATTCCAAATAGATTCAACCCAAACAGGTCCTCTCCAAGGTACATAACAGTCCAATTGTCAACAGTCAAAGACAAAGAATTCTAAAATCAGCAAGTGAAAAGTGTCAAGTCAAACTTAAGGGAATCCCCATTAGACTAAGAGCAGATTTCTCTACACAAACATTACAGGCCAAGAGAGAATGGGGCAAGATATTGAAAGTACTGGGAAAAAACCCCTGTCAACTAGGAATATTATACTCAGCAAAGCTATCTCCTTCAGAAATAAAGGAGAAATAAAGTCCCAGACAAGCAAAACATAAGGGAATTCACTATCACTAACCTGATTTTATAAGAAATGCTCAAGGGAGCCTTGCATCTGAAAGTGAAAAGATAATAATGTGAACCCAAAATATCTGAGACAGGTCGCAGTCAATTTAGAAAGTTTATTTTGCCAAGGTTAAGGATGCACCCATGACACAGCCTCAGGTGGTCCTGAGGCTTGGACATGTGCCCAAGGTGGTTGGGGAATAGCTTGCTTTTATGCATTTCAGGGAGACATGAGACACTTCAGGACAACTTGAAGTGGGGGCTTCCAGGTCAGAAGTAGATAAGAGACAAAAGGTTGCATTCTTTTAAGTCCTCGATCAGCTTTCCACTGAATACACAATTTAGTCTGGCTTGGTGCATCTGCATTGTTACATAAAGAATAAGACAGAGGAAACAATCAGATATCCATTTGTCTCAGGTCAACCTCAGAGGGATGACTTTGAATTCTGTCCTTTGCCCACAAGGAATTTCCTTGAGACAAGGAAATTCCAAGTCTCAAAACACTAAAACATCAAAATTATGTCAAATATCTTATGTGACCACAGTGGAATAAACTAGACATCAATTACAAGAGGAACATTTAAAACTATGCAAATACATGGGAGTTAGAAAACATGCTTCTGAATGACCAATGAGTGAAGGAATAAATTAGGAAGGGAATTTAAAAATTCCTTGAAACAAATGAAAATAGAAACACAACATACCAAAACCTATGGGGCACAGCAAAAGAAGTGTTAAATGGCAAATTTATAGCAATCAATGCCTACATGAAGACACTAGAAATATTTCAAATAAACAGCCTGATGATGCACAAAGATACAAATCTACCAAAAGAAGAAAAAACCAAATCCAAAATTAGTAGAAAAAGGGAAATAATGAAGATCTGAGAAGAAATAAACAAAATTGAAGCTAAAAAATACAAAAGATCAATGAAACAAAAATTTGGATTTTTGAAAAGATAAACAAAATAGACAATTAGCTAGACTAACTAAAAAAGAGAGAAAACCAAGTAAATAAAATCAGAAATGAAAAGGGGATGTCACAATGGATATCACAGAAATACAAAGGATAATTAAAAACTACTAAAAATAACTATATTTCAATAAATTTGAAAACCTCAAGGAAATGAACAAGTTCCTGGACACATACAAACTCTTGAGATTTAACCAAGATGAAATAGAAAACCTGAACAGAGTGATAAGAAGTAATGCAATTGGGCTGGGCACGGTGGCTCACGCCTGTACTCCCATCACTTTGGGAGGCTGAGCTGAGCAGATCACAAGATCAGGAGTTTGAGACTAGCCTGGCCAACATGGTGAAACCCTGTCTGTACTGAAAAAATACAAAAATTAGCCAGGCATGGTGGTGTGCACCTGTAATCTCAGCTACTCAGAAGGCTGAGGCAGGAGAATTACTTGAACCCAGGAGGCAGAGGTTGCAGTGAGCCAAGATTGCACTGCTGCACTCCAGCCTAGGTGACAGAGTAAGTCACACACACATACACACACACAAAAGAAGTAATGAGATTGAATTAGTAATAAAAAGTTCCCCAAAAAAGAAAAGTTCGGGACTGAATGGCTTTCCTATTGAATTCTATTGCTCCTTTAAATAAGAATTAATACCAATTTTTCTCAAGTTATTCCAGCAATGTTGAAGCAGTGGGAATTCTTCCTAATTTATTCTAGGAGGTCAGCATAACCCTGATACCAAAACTAGGCAAGAACAGAACAGCAACAAAACAATCTACAGGCCAATATCCCTGATGAACATAGGTGGAAAAGTTCTCAGTGAAACACTAGCAAACTGAATCCAAAATTACATCAGAAAGATGATACACCATGCTCAGGTGAAATTTATGCCAGCAATTCAAGGATGGTTCAACATATACAAATCAATAAACATCATTATTACATCAATAGAATAAAGGACTAAAACCGTGTCATCATCTCAATAGATGAAGCAAAAGCATTTGATTAAATTCGACATCCCTTCATTATCAAAATTCTCAGTAAATTAGGTACAGAAGGAAAGTACTTCAATATAATAAAAGCTATGTGTGACATAACCACAGCTAACATTTTATTCAATGGGAAAAAGCCAAAAGCTTTTCTCTTAAGAACTGGAACAATACAAGGATGTCCACTCTCATTGCTTTTGTTCAACGTAGTACTGGAGGTCTTGTGCAGTGCAATTGCCAAGAGAAGAAAATAAATGGCATCCAAATTGGAAAGGAGGAAGTCGAATTTTTCTTTGCAGATGACATAATCTTATATACTGAAAAACTTAAAGGCTCTACCAAGAATTCTTAGAACTGATAAATGAATTCAGTAGAGTTGCAAGATACATAATTAATATACGAAAATCAGTAGCTTTTGTAGGCACATACAATGAACTAGCTGAAACAGAAATCAACAAGGCAATCCCATTTACAATAGTTACAAAACAAATAAACTGCCCAGTAATAAATGTAACCAAGAAGGTGAAAGCCTGCTGTAAGGAAAACTACAAAACTTTGATGAAAAAAATTGAAGAGGATACAAACAAATAGAAAGACATCCCCATGCTTATAGGTTGGAAGAATTAATATTGTCAAATGACAATACTACCCAAAGCAATCTACAGGTTCAATGTAATCCCTATGAAAATACCAATGACATTTTTCACAGAAATAGAAAAAAATCATAAATGTATATTATACTACAAGAGACTTCGAATATCTAAAGCAATTCCAAACAAAAAGAACAAAGTTGGAGGTATCAAATAAGAAGGGTGAGAATGCCCCCTGGGCTGACCAAAGCCCACGGGCCACTGCATCCCTTGCCAAGTGCCTACATCCCACTGCCATTGCTGCCATCATGCCCAAGACAAAGATTGAAGGGGATGCTAAAGGAGATAAAGCCAAGGTGAAAGACGAACCACTGAGAAGATCCGCGAGGTTGTCTACTAAACCTTCCAAAGCCAGAGCCCAAGCCAAAAAAGGCTCTCGAGAAGAAGGGAGAGAAGGTACCCAATGGAAAAAGGGAAAAGCTGTTGCTGGCAAGGAGGGGAATAACCCTGCAGAAAATGGAGATGCCAAAACAGACCAGGCACAGAAAGCTGAAGGTGCTGGAGATGCCAAGTGAAGTGTGCACATTTTTGATAACTATGTGCCTCTAGAGGTGACTGTAGAGTGTGAAATACTCTTTTTATCAAGTTTTATAAAAATGCAGCATTTTGTTTCACTTTTTTTAAAAGCTATGTTGTTAGCACACAGAACAATTCATTGTTGTTTTTGGGAAAAGAATGTCCGTGAAGCTGGATTGATGTGGAGAAGACACCTTTCCCTTCTAGTTTTGAGAGACTTCCTCTTGGCTCCCAGGAGGAGGGATTTCCTGACTTTGACACACATGGCCACCTTGTCACAAAAGCCATTAAAAACAAATTCATTTTTATGTCCTCTTCTCCCTTTCAACCTTTCAGCATAGACTTAACTCCCTTAAACCCAGACACCTGTTGGGATGTGACCCCCCAGTAATTGGTCACCAGTGTGTCAGGCAATCTGGACTTTCCAGTGATAGCACTGAGATGGTGCTCCTTAAAAGAGCAGTGGTTCCATTTGTAGGTTGTGGATCTTTGGATAAATTCTGCCATTTTCATTTTACTTCCTGAAAGCCAGGGTTGGCTCATGAAAAGGTGTTGAACAACATGCTAAATGTGAAATGTTAACCCTCACTCTAAACTTTCTCTGTTCAGAGCATCAGATGAAGACTTAATTGAGTTTTATAGTGGCTTTCTGATTTTGGGTAGTCAACTGAAGAAGGGAGTTTGAAAGTTGTTGTGTACTGTTAATGATTGTCTGCCCAAGTTCTGCTTGAAATACCATGATTGTTTATGGAAAGTACCTTTACTAAAGCTGGATAAAGTTTGAAATAACAAAAAAAGTTGGAGGTGTCACACTACCAGACCCCAAAATATATTACAAAGTTGTAGTAACCAAAATGGGCATTAAAAAACACGTAGATCAATGGAACAGAATAGAGAACACAGAAATAAATGCACATATTTATAGTCAACTGATTTTTGTCAAAACTACCAAGAACACTCATTGGAGAAAGAACCGTTTCTTCAATAAATAGTTCTAGGAAAAGTGGATGAAACTAAACCCCTACCTCTCACCCAATACAAACGTCAACTTAAAGTGGATCAAAGACCTAAATTTAAGACCTGAAACCATGAAATTACTAGAAGAAGTTCTTTGGGGGAAATGCTTCAGGATATGAGTCTGGGAAAAGATTTTATGAATAGGATATCCAAAGCACAAGCAACAGAAACAAAAATAAACAAATGGCATTATAGCAAACTAAAAAGTTTCTGTGCAGCAAAGGGTACAACCAATAGAGTGAAAAGATAATTTACAATATTAGAGAAAATCTGTGCAAACTACTTATCCAATTTGGGGTGAATATCCTGAATATACAAAGAACTCAAACACTTCAACAGCTAACAAAAAATAATAATAAAAGAAAAAGATGGACATGTGGGCCAGGCGCAGTGGCTCACGCCTGTAATCCCAGCACTTTGGGAGGCCGAGGTGGGTGAATCACTTGAGCCCAGGAGATCGAGACCAGCCTGGCCAACATGGTGAAACCCCGTCTCTATTAAAAATACAAAAATTAGCTGGGTGTGGTGGCACATGCCTGTAATCCTAGCTGCTTACGTGGCTGATGCATGAGAATTGCTTGAACCTGGGAGGCGGAGGTTGCAGTGAGCCAAGATCAGGCTACTGTACTCTAGCCTGGGTGACAGAGCAAAACTCTGTCTCAAAAAAAAAAAAAATGCAAATGATCTGAATAGACATTTCCCTAAGAAGACATAAAAATGGTCAAGAAATATGTGAAAATGTGCTCACATCTCTAACCATCAGAGAATTGCAAATCAAAACTACAATGAGGTATCATCTCGCCCCAGTTCGGATGGCTGTTATCAAAAAGACAAAAAATATAAAATGCTGGTGAGGATGCAAAGAAAAGGGAATTCTTATACATTGTTGGTGGAAATGTAAACTAGTATAGCCACTATGGAGAACAGCATGGAGGTTCCTCAAAAAACTACAAACAGAACTACAATATGATCCAGCAATTCCACTACTGGAATTTATCCAAAGCAAAGGAAATCATTATATTGAAGAGACATCTGCACCTCCACATTTATTGCATCAGTATTCACAATAGCCAAGATGTGAGATCAACCTAGGTGTCCAAAACCAGATGAATGGATAAGAAAAATTATACACACACACACACACACACACACACACACACACACACACACACACACTGGAATACTATTCAGTCATGAAAAATAATGAAATCTTGTCATTTGCAGCACCGTGGATGAAACTGGAGGACACTATGTTAAGTGAAGTAAGGCTAGAAGAGAAAGTTAAATACTGCATGTTCTCACTTACATGTGGAAGCTTAAAAAAGTACATTCATAACGTTGTGTTTAGGTTGATGCAAAAGTAGTTGCGATTTTTTTGCCATTGAATGCTATGGCAAAAACTGCAATTACTTTTGCACCAACCTAATACACCATCACCACTATCTATTTCCAGAACTTTTTTCATTATCCCAAACAGAAACTTAATGTCTGGACTGTCCCAAATTATTAATGTTTCCAAGGACCACAAATAAACTACAAAAATTTTTACTGAGGGGATCATAAGCATGCATCATACAGTTTGTTTATTCATTATTGAAAAGTATTTATTCAACTCCTTCTAAGTACCCAGCTCCAGGCTAGGTGCTGTGAATAATAACAGCAATTACTCAGATTTGTATAGTACACGTTATGTGCAGGTACTGTTCTAAGTGTTTAACATGTATTAACTCAACAAAGACAAGTAAGCTGGTCTTTGATCCCAAGGACCATTTAGAGTGCTAAGGATTATGATAAAAATTGGCACAGGCTAGCAGGCTTAAGGAAGGCTAATAAACCAAACTGAACACCCAAGTCCACCTAAAAAGGATCTAACATCAATCCATTTTAAGCCTATTGTCCCTGAAGATTGGCTGAACTAGTTTCACAGGTTACATAAGCTGTCACCATATTGCATTATGGCCCATTCAGGTCAGCAGCCTTTAATACCGGCGCTTACTTCAGGGAGGGGTACAGGAACTTTTCAGTTCGAAAGGGATCACTCCTATTAATAGATTCTTGCTGTATTCTTGTTCCAGAGGTGTACCTCAGGGGGTGTTGCCGGTTAGACAACATTTTCCTTTTGTCCTCAGATTTGGGTGGGTCTGTGAAGTTTCCGTGTGACAGCAACAAAGTGCCCAATACACTGGCTGCTGGGAGGGGAATTTGTTCCTAGGAGCTTTGCTCACAGAGATGACAAGAATCTCCTCATGATGCAGCAAAAATAAGGATTTGGAAAGCTTTTAGCCTATCCAGCAACAGATCTCAAAATGTGGTCCCAGACAAAAAACATGAGCATCACTTTGGAACTTGGACCCCATAGCAATTTGAGTTTTAACAAGTTCTGGAGTTGCTTCTAACTCTAAAATTTCAGTAGTCAATTCAGTCTCTTTTCTTGTATGGTTACTTTGTCTGAAAAAACCTATTTAGTATCCTTAATATTCATACTTAGATATTTATACTTAGATTTCCAAAATGGTCTCTTAAGAACAGAAAGAAGTCAATGAACTTTGCCTGTTAAACAGAGATCTGCAAGCCCCAATTTTTAAGTTTTTTTTTCTTTTCTTTTCTTTTTTTTTTTTTTAAGACGGGGTTCCCTCTTGTTGCCCAGGCAGGAGTGCAATGGCACGATCTTGGCTCACTGAAACCTCCGCCTCCTGGTTTCAAGCGATTCTCTCTCCTGCCTCAGCCTCCCGAGTAGCTGGGATTACAGGTGCACGCCACCAAGTGGGGCTAATTTTTATGTTTTTAGTAGAGATGGGGTTTCACTATGTTGGTCAGGCTGGTCTCAAACTCCTGACTTCAGGTGATCCACCCACCTCGGCCTCCCAAAGTGCTGGGATTACAGGCATGAGCCACTGCGCCCGGCCAAGTTTATTTTTAAAAAATCAAAGAACAGGTGACAAATGCAATATGGTCCTCAAAGCCTAAAATATTTAGTGTGACCCCTTTTATAAAAACTGTGCTGATCCCTGCTTTTAGAACCTTATTTCATTTGAATTAAACACTTCTATTGCTTTTGTAAATGTAGTCTAATGTCCAAATTTATAGTAGAATACAATTTTTCCCCAAAAATATGCTTCAATTTACTGAATTGTGTTTTTATGTTAGTGAAATTTAAACTCTGTACTGCTTTTTATGACTGCCTATCCTCTGTTTAGAGAGGAACAGGTTCCATGTTTCGCTGTCACCTGACAAGTGTTAAGCAGACACATAGAGAAAGTTAAAATTTGTTTTGAGTCCTTAAGAGTGAAGTTAAGGAATCAGACCTATAAATGGACACCATGTGATGAGTGCTGTCATCAAAGCATGGACAATGGGCTTTGGGAGTACATTAAGGGGACACCGATTTAGTACTCCATTATAGGGGGGCAGCCTCACTCATTTATCCTGTGCCCTGATTATGGACATTTTGGTTGTTTTCCAACTTTTCTTTTGTCTATCAAAACAATGTTGCCATGCATAACCTTGTACATGGTTCATTTCATTCACACGGGAACAAAAGTGCTGGGTTGAAGGCTATGTGCTGGGAGACTGAATAGACCAGTGGACAATGGCCAGGCTATATAAAAATAGGATTCAGATCCACAAACTGCAGCAATAATCTCTGTAACAATTGGCCCAAAATGTTAAGAACTTGTTTTTTTTTTTGAGACCGTGTCTCACTCTGTCACCCAGGCTGGAGTGCACTGGTGATCATGGCTAACTGCAGCCTTGACCTCTTGGGCTCAGGTGATCCTCCCACCTCATTCTCCTGAATAGCTGGGACTGCAGGTACAGCCAACGTGTCCGGCTAATTTTTTTTTTGTATTTTTTGTAGAGACAAGGTTTCACCATGCTGCCCAGGCTGGTCTTGAACTCCTGGGCTCAAGTGTTCCACCCACCTTGGTCTCCCAGAGTGTTGGGATTACAGGCCTGAGCCGCCATAACAGGTCAAGAACTTGAGTGATGATTGACAACTTCTCTAATTTTTGTTCCTGCTTCCAACTAACAGCCAATCAGAGAAAGTCAAATATGCACCCTAACCAATCACATAGGAGGCCCCACTTCTAGTTAGCTGCCTCCAGCTTTCCCACGCCTATATCCTCCAATCAACATGCACTTGAAAGCTTCCCCTTATTCTACTATAAAGCTTTCCTACCTCTCTCCTTGCCTTTGAGTCTCTGCCGAAATGCAAGGTGGTGGGTGACGCCCTTGCTATGGCAAGCTCTGAATAAATAGTCTTTGCTTGTTCTCACTTGGTTGGTCTTCATGTATTTCCATAGTTAACAGTGGAGGTCTGCACACTCTGTTGTCCTGGACTCAACCTTCAGCCAGGTCTGGTACCCACAGAGGCCCCCTGTGTCTTGCCACTCGAAGCACGGATGTGCTAAGTCAGCCCTGAGTCTAAACCCCACTCTCTTTGTGTTGAGTTCCTTGACTGTGCTCACTTTGGTATCCAGCTTTTGTTAATAACTGGGTATTAGTTCCCATTTGTTTGGCAGCCTTGGTGGAATCATACCTTTCTTTGTCAGTCCTTTTCGCTCACGTACCTGTGAGCTTGTGGTTCTCACTGACAGGCACCCACTTGGACAAACTCAGCTATGGGTAACCAATAAAACCAGATGAGGTTCTCCTTCTGTCTGGATTTTGTGTCTTGAGAGCTTGACTTTGATCCATCTGGATTTTGTGTCTTGAGAGCTTGACTTTGATCCAGAGACAGCATTCTCTCTGGCTTTCTGCCTGCTGGGTGGCATTTTTTGATTGGTACACCTCCAGATAAAATTCTGACGTACAAAGTGCTTCACTAAAAGATTCATTGACCAGAGCTAATGAGCAATTCGACAAATGTAAGAAAGAACACACTAGACTCATTTTTCTGGAAAACCTCCCCCTCCATGCTCCCTTGGTTGTCTCCTAATATCCAGCTCTCTTTTCCTTTTATGCTCTGATCACTGTCCTTCCACACCCACACCGCCTCCCTCATCTTCCCTTGGTCCAGACCTCCTACTTTTCCCAAACAACCCTCCTAAAACTCCTCTTTCAAACCAGTTATGTGGGGAAACTGTAGACTTAAGCCTTGGGCCTGGGCTGAATTAAGAGGTATAATTAAAGATTTCCCTAATGCTTGTAATCTCAGCACTTAGGGAGGTTGAGGCAGGAGGATTGCTTAAGCCCGGGCGTCTGAGACCAGCCTGGGCAACACAGTGAGACCCTGTCTGTATTTTTTTTTAAGTTGAAAAAAAAATGATTTCCTTAAAGCCAAAGAAGACCAGCAAATATTTATTAGAAAAGTTTAGAATTCCTCTGGAGGCATATGACCCAGGGACCCCTGACTTTGTACACATGTTGTACACATGGGTACCTTGTACATTTGTCAACGTGTACACATGTTGGTCAGAACCTCCGATGCTAAAGGTTGGAGGGTAAAAGCTGATTGGACTGACCAGGAACGATGCCTTATAGGATTCCCCTTTCCACAATAAACCTGACAGTCAAAAAAAGGGACCTACCCAAAATGTAGGTCAAGTGCCCTAAAAGTCATACCCCAAATGTTTTCAAAACAAATCTGCTGGAGCATAATTCAATCATGCAAACAAACAAAGAAAAAAGATGACACTATAGGAGATTTCCGAGATAGACTAGAAAGCAACTTTGGATGACAGCTGAGCGTTACAGAGGTGCTGAGGGAGCAACAGCCCTTTCATCTGGCTTTGTCAATGGAATTGAACCTGAAGTTGGAGACCTAATTCAAAAACAGAAATGAGCATGGAGAATAGCCACCTGAGATGAGCAACAACACCAGGCACAGCATGTTGCAAGGGCTTTAGAACAAAAACGAGGCAAGATCCAAAGTAAACTGTGGCCCTGCAGATCAAACAGCTGGGTAGCCCACTCCCCAGTCAACCACCTATGGACAAGGACACTTTGGGATATCTTAAACTGGAAAGATCTTCCCATCTTACACACACATGCGCGTGCGCGCTCACACACACACACACACAGAGAACAGAAAAAAATGACAAAAATTCCTTGATTCATATCAATGAAGGAGTTGTGTAGAAGGACAAAGGGCATGATGTCCTGTTATGCTTAAACACTCAAGATGAATTAGCTTAACTGCAGATGGCCGTCCTCATCAGCTGCTAGTAGACACTCTTTATACATTGAACCCTGCTGCCTTTGTTCAACCTCCTCACGGTAACAACTCACAAGTCATTGGGATTTCAAGTAATCCATAGGCTTTTTGTGTCTCTCAGCCCTTAACCACAACCTTTGGGCTCTTC
The DNA here is from genome assembly GCF_000001405.40 of Homo sapiens. Taxonomy (NCBI): domain Eukaryota; kingdom Metazoa; phylum Chordata; class Mammalia; order Primates; family Hominidae; genus Homo; species Homo sapiens. Next base: position 2,349,037 of record NC_000006.12, read on the forward strand.
CTGTTCTCTGACACCAATCCTGCAAATTTAGTAGGGAGAGATCTATTCTGCAAATGGAATTGTAATATTAAATGCATACCGGGGGTGGGGGACTGTCTCCTGCGGTGTCAGAGGACCCTGCATTCATAATCGCGTTGCCTGCTCTGGCTGGCTGTGTACCTTAGCCTCTTTTGTTATATTTGAGGAACACCCAAGATAAGGATTATGGGGCAATGTAGGGTTGAGGGAAATTTGTGTTAGGATTTAATAGAACATTCTGAAATTTTTGGAGAAAAATGATAGACATAATATTCTTAATAACAGCTACAGTAGTATAGAGTATATACAGCATCCAAATGGAAATAGTTGTAAATATTTGTCAACATTAAATTTAGTTTAAAATAAAAACCTTGGGAGCTCAGTAGTCAGCTGAGAAAATGTCCTAACCTTGCATTTTGAAGGGGAGATTGACATTTCTTTTTTTTTCCATTTTGTTTATTTATGTATGTATTTGTTTTTCAATTTTACTTTTTATTTTAGATTCGGGGGCACAGGTGCAGGTTTGTTACAAGGGTATATTGTGTGATGCTGAGGTTTGGGCTTCTAATGATCCCATTGCCCGAGTAGCAGACATAGTACCCGATGAGTAGTTTTTCAGCCCATGCCCCCAGCTTCCTTCCTTTTGGAGTCCCCAGTGTCTATTTTTCCCGTCTTCATGTCCTTTTGTGGTGAAGCTAAACATTGGTTTAGCCTATAAGTGAGAACAGGCCGGGTGTGGCGGCTCATGCCTATAATCCCAGCACTTTGGGAGGCCAAGGTGGGAGGACCACTTGAGCCCAGGAGTTTGAGACTAGCCTGGGCAACATGGCAAGACACTGTCTCTACAAAATTTTTAAAAAATTACCTGGGCATGGTGGCATACACCTGTAGTCCAAGCAACTTTGGAGGCTGAGGTGGGAGGATTGCTTGATCCTGAGAGATTGAGGCTGCAGTGAGCTGTGATCACACCACTGCACCGCAGCCTGGGCTGGGCTTTTGAGACAGAGCAAGACCCTGTCTCAAAAGAAAAAAAAAAGAAGTGAGAACATGAAGTATTTGGTTTTCTGTTTCTGTGTCAATTCGCTTAGGATAATGGCCTCCAGCTGCATCCATGTTGCTTCAGGGGACGTGTTCATTCTTTTTTGTGACTTTGTAGTACTCCGTGGTGTATAAGTTTGATATTTTTTCGTTCTTATTTATTTATTTATTTATTTGAGAGGAGTCTCGCCCTGTCGCCCAGGCTGGAGTGCAGTGGTGTGATCTCGGCTTCACTGCAGGCTCCACTTCCCAGGTTCATGCCATTCTCTTGCCTCAGCCTCCCGAGTAGCTAGGATTACAGGCGCCCGCCACCACGCCCGGCTAATTTTTTTGTGTTTTTTAAAAGAGACGGGGTTTCACCCTGTTAGCCAGGATGGTCTCGATCTCCTGACCTCGTGATCCACCCGCCTCGGCCTCCCAAAGTGCTGGGATTACAGGCGTGAGCCACCGCGCCCGGCTGACATTTTCTTTATCCAATCTACTATTGATAGTCACCTGGGTTGTTTCTATGTCTTTGCTGTTGAGAACAGTGCTGTGATAAACATACAAGGGCAGGTGTCTTTTGTGATTTATTTTCCTTTGGGTGTATACCCAGTCATGGGGTTGCTGGGTTGAATGGTAATTCTATTTTTGCTTCTTTGAGAAATCTCCAAACTGTTTTCCACAGGGGCTGAACTAATTTGCATTCCCACCAGCAGTGTATAAGCATGCCCTTTTCTCTGCAGCCTCACCGGCATCTGTTATTTTTTTGACGTTTTAACCATAGCCATTCTGACTGGTGTGAGATGGTGTCTCATTGTGGTTTTGACCTGCATTTCTCTGGTGATCAGTGATGCTGAGCATTTCTTCACGTGTTTGTTGGCCGTATGTATGGAGACTGACGTTTATGTTGGATGACAATTATGGGGAAAAAACTCACCAGGACTACGTAATATAATCTTCCTTCTGTGTAGAAAGAGGCATTTCCTATGTCCCCAGACCATCACACTGACTCTACAAGATTGGGTTCTCTTGTCGTTATGGTGCTACAGGGCAGGATGTCCAACTCTGACACTCAAGGGAGATCAGGTGCGTTATAGGTAGTGTGGTTTAGTAGAGTGAAAACTATCCAAGTCACCTGGAATCCAGACATGAAGCCATCTTGATAGAGGGCCCAAGGGTAATCCACTTCAGTAGCCAGGAACCTGTTGAGCAAATGCCAGCTTGTGATAAAAATTTATTGTATGGATCACAGTGTCCCATAAAGTAGAGACTCTAAATGTTAAAAACAACATTGGCTGCTTGACTTGATTAGAACGCAGCAGTTTGAGATGTTTAAATGTGAAGGGCGAGAGGCTTGGCTTCCTATGTTTAAGGAGTTGATCTCGTGATGTTTGGAGAGCCCAGCTTTGAGATGCCTGGTCTCTCCTGATGCTTCCCTTTGATTCCACAAAAGGGAGGGCCCGGTGGCTGCTGAATGGTACAGTCTGAGGCGATGACAGAGGCTGCAGGTCTCTGCCAGCATTGGAGACCCTCAGACACAGTGTGGCTGGTGACCACTGGAGGAGGCAGGGTTCAGGTTCCTGGGCATCTGCAGGCCAGCTCTCAAACCCCCACCCACCTCCCACTTCCCCCCGAACCCCCGGCTCTCCACAGCTTGCACCTATCCTATCTGGAGTAGTAGTGAGAGTTGTATCCCTTAATTCCCATTTTTATTGGGTTTCTGGACAATGCTGGAAAGCATTCAAAATAGCTCATATTTTACTCTTACCTTGTGAGTCTAAGTAAAGACCCATTCATTTCAAGAAAAATAACTTGCTTTTGGTTCTGTCCCTGGAGCTAGAAAGTTTGCTGTTAAGTAGATTGATTACGCATCAGCCTGGAATAGCTAGTTCCTTGCTGTGTGGCCTTGGGCAAGCCACTCAAGTGCTCTGGGCTGTCATTTACTCACCTGTGAACTAAGAGGGCTGAACTGGATGATATTGAAGGTCCCTATTAGCTCTAAGTCAGGGCCCAGCATGCAGGCATATCAAGTTTCTTTTCTTCATTTTCAAAAAGTAAGCTTCTGAGAATATTTTTGACCATATTGCAAAGTCAAATAATTATTGAGTGAGTCTGTTATTTCATGCCATTCCTTTTCTACTAGCTAATCTAGTTTGCAAAATACCCTATGCTGCTGGTGAAAGGAAAAAAAAAAACAAAGTGTGAACCCAAAACTCATGATTCATTCTAAGTTAGTTCAACAGATTAGTTCCTCATTCTCTCAGATCTCCAGGGAAGAGACATCAACACCAGCCCATCGCTGATACCCTTTGTCCTGGCCTCCGGAGCGCTCCCTGCACAGTCCCAAGTCTGCAAGAAGGGGGATCTTTTCTTGAAAACCTACAGTGCTAATAATTGTCAAAAATATATAAATTCTAAATTTAAAATTTAAGGTATTGGTGCCTATGAAATGTCCCCAACACAAAGAAATGATAAATGTTTGAGATGATGGAAATGCTGATTACCCTGATCTGATCACTCACTTTATATGTATTGAAACATCATTATGAACTCCATGAATATGTATAATTGTTATTAGTCAGTTAAAACAAATAAAACTAAAAATGTTTAACGATAAGAAGAAAAAAATGTTGTGTTGTCAACACTAAGTTTTAAAACACGCTATAAGGTGGTTACTGAAAATTGCCTGCTGTGCTTGGTATGTTGTGCACAGCATTATGGTTATTTATTTGGGGGTGTTTCTGGTTGTCTTCTCTTGCCCCTGTCGCCACACACAGCCCATTGTGCAGCATTATGAGTGTCTCTTGGGCCAAATTTTCTGATCTCAGGTCCAGGATTTTTATTTCTTAGTGATAATAGTATGCATTTTTAAAAAGTATAAATGATTAGTATCAAATTCTAATATGTAGCTTTAAATTGGAAAATTTTTAACTAGAAAAATTTTAACATCATATACAGGCTAGAGTCTTTTTTTCTGCCAGTCTTTGTGGATTTTACTGGAAAAATATACATACATCCCATGATAGAATTTATTCTCTAGAAGATGATTGGCAAACTTTGGCCTGCAAGGCCAAATCTGTCCTTCCTCTGCATCTGGTACTACTCTTGAGTTAAGAATGGCTTTTACGTTTTTAAGTGGTTATGTAGGTGCCCACGTAATAGTCTCGACTTTACCTCTTGGTCCCCAAAGCCTGAAATATTTATGATCTGATCTTTTAAGAAAAATTTGCCAACTCTATTCTACAGAAAAGGAATGAACAACTAACTCAGCAATGCATATGGAGAGGAGAGGAGCATGTAAGTAAACCTGAGAACTTTGGTAATAAAGAAAGAGAAAATTTTATTCAGATTATACAGAAGTATTTACATTTATAAATGCCTCTTTGACAATATGATCGGTTTCAGTTTATCTTGTTGGCATGATTCAAAGCCCTGGTGTCAGAGATTGTTCCATTAAGTAGGCAGATTACACACACACACACAGATAAGGACATATCAAGTAAAAGCACAATTAAAGAGAAGTTCGTGGGAAGATCCTGATTTGCATACCCAGAGTGGGTCTGTATACACATTAATCTGACAGCGGCCTGGACGATTTTAATGTTTCTAACTCCGAATATAAACTTGTGTTTCTCTCATGCAGATGTTGCCCTTTCTTCTGCTTATAGGAAAATTCCCATGTAGTTTCAAAGCCCTGTCATGGGCAAGGTAAACAGTGGTGCTAGCTGTGAACAGATAAAATGTATATCCATCGATTAACTAAGCCTTGGAAATGAAACACGTCCTGTCTCTTGAATGCTGTACACAGAGCCAAGAGAAATAGACGGATCATCAGGCTTTACAAAGGGAGTTCACAGTAGTCGCTGATATGAGGGAATAATATCTTTGAAAGTTTCAAAACACAGATAAGATGAACTCATTTGTATTTCTTGGGAAATACTCTTCTGAAACAATGAGAAGCTCTTGCCAGGTTTAGGCTGTTCTGGTATGCAGTCAACACCGCCACCAGCTGGCCTAATTGAGAAAGACTATTTGTGCCTAAATTTCTCTTACAGAAACTATGTGATAAAAATAAAACACCTGGCAGAAGGACGCAAAGCTCTATCATTTCAAAATTCAGTTTTTTTCCTGTTTTGTGAAATGGCTTTCACAGAAATGTGCCTTTAGGTGTGACTGTTATCTTTTGATAGGAGTGAATACGTATTGGTATCATATGCAGCTACAAACCATTTCCAATATACGTATAAAATAATGGGAATTATGGATCTTTGTGGTGCTAATAATTACGTTTGTAAATACCCTGGTTTCCATTTTTTTGTCTTTCCATTTTCAAAATATGTGTATAGTGGAGACAAAGGAGAAGAGGGTGAACCTTACATTAACCGATTATATCTCATGCTGGCAGGCATTCGTGAAATGTTTGGTGAAAGGGAAGTTTAAAATTACTGATTAAAGTGAGGGTCTGTGTTTACTAAAGCATTGTACTTTAAAGCCATTCTTCATTGATATAGAACATTTCAATGGCGTTCTGTTGATTTAATCGTAAAGGTTCTGATGTTTATATCTGCTTATACTCTTCTACTGCAAACATTCACTTCCCAACAAATTTATTCGAACCACACATTACATTTTGGGAAGTTATGTTAACCAAATATTGTTGCTGCTATCTCTGTAATATGACTGCATTTAACTTTACTTTTGAATTTGTTTTTGAAGAGAGTACTTGCAGACAATGGGAGCTGCCTGGAAGAAATACATATAAGCAACATTTGTGTAATGGGCTAAATCCTTTGAAAAGCAGTGGTGGAGGTGGTAGTGGAGGGGTAGGATTGATTTAGGGAAGTCTACGTGTGTGTTAGCTGAAATATCTAAATCTGAAAGCAATGATAATACCATATGTAAAATTTCCAATGCATGTAACTTGAAGTATAGTATATATGCCCAAAGACATACTTTATTCTTTGACAGATTTCTAAGATTTCTAGTGAAAAATGAAATTAAAAACCCCGAGCAACAACAACAACAGCAACAATCTAAGAGAAATATGACATTAAAAACCCATTGATCGTAGTTTTAGACTTTAAAATGACTTGTAATATTAAAAGCTGGGACAGAGAACAAAAAGTGTGTCTGTATTAACACACAAATCAAATATTTTGGTTAAAACCATATTTTGGTTCCTATTCTTAAGGCAACACAACTTATTTTCAGCAATTCCGTCTTCTTGGACTCTAAGCAAGTTTTAAGACTCTTGGAGAATAGCCCAGGGTTTCTTACTTAGTGGTTAAAGTCTATTTGGAGTGCTTGGCACTTGTAATACTTTAAACATTAGTTTAAACTACTCCTCGCTGAAATGATGCTGTTGGCTTTTTGAACTGGGAGACGCCATAACCACCACCTGATCCAACCCTCTTTTTGGGGGGAAATGGAGGCCCTGTGTAGCCAAGGAAGTCATCTCAGTATCAAAATGTGTTTCTGAGTTAGGACGAGGACGTACGTTAGAGTAAGCAGTGGGTGTACTTCCTAATTGAATGAGTATTCTCATGAAGCACTAACTAAACTTTTTTCTTGACTGTTGTTCACACATTCATTGTTCCACTTTGGGTCTACTATGTCTTAAAACAATCTTTTGGGTCTATACATTTAAAAAATTTATAGTATGTGATGATGCATGTTATATGTATTGATGCATGAGATATGCCAAACAAATCAATAGCATCCATGTGATTTAAAAATTAGCGTCTTCATTAAAAGATGAGTTCACAGTTAGACTTTAGCACTCCACGCAACTACTAGATCTGCTTAAGGACAGTGAGAACATGTGGCTGCTGCTGAGTGAGAAAGAAGAGGGAAACTGTTGACAACTACTTATACTTTCATTACTATCCTTCATAGACATATTGATCCCAAATGATGAACCATTCTATCCAATCATTTGTTTTTTATTCATTCATTCACTTATTAATTCATTCTGTGTTGTCTTTATTAAGGACAGCCTATTATGGCAAAACTTGTGTTAAATCATATGTGGAAAGAGGAAAGTGGAGAAATTAAAGAAAAAGGTGCTCTTGTATTTGTTTCCTAATTCTTCTAGTGGGTATTTTTAATCTTCTTTTTGAGCAGAGCAGCCTGTGAAGTTTCCTGGTCTTTTTCTTCTTTTCAGGGCTGTTCCGCAGGGCTCCTTTTTGCTTAGAGCAACATAATGTTTCATTAATATGGACTCCCAAGACATCTATTGCTCTGGAGCAAATTTAGAAAGAGCTGGCATACTGTATTTTAATATTAAATTAATGTGGATTAGCCTATGTATGGCCAGCTGCACTTTTACATCAACCGTTTAGACATATACAGGAAGTCTTTCTTCCTGTGAAAAAAATGTACTTTAATAATAAAGACTAATTTTGAATGCTTCCAAGTAGCGATCCTGATTTGGTAGATTGCTCATAGACAAGCATTTTTTCCCTTGTTTATCTGGGCTCTTTGCTGTAACTTGCCTGAATTTTTCATTTCGTACTTTGGTGTTCATGAGTGTAAATTTAGTATGAAAAGTTATCAAGGGGATACAATTATATAGCATGAATTTGTTCATAATATCAGTCAGAAAGCCACAAAGCAAACTAAGATATATGCATTTTTTTTTTTAGCTTGAACAGTTTGGAAATTCATTTCACGTAGTGAGAAAGCCAGAGGTAGGAGATCCCAGGTTCCGCAGCTTGACAACTCGTACTTCCTCCATCCTTCATGCATTGTAGAATAGCAGCCTCCAAAGATGTCCGTGCCCACATCCCTGGAAACTGTGAAGATGAAGAATCACAGTTAATTACAGGAAAGAGCCTCATTTTTTTAAAAATTTGAGATGGGGTCTCCCTATATTGACCAGGCTGGTCTTGAACTCCTGGCCTCAAGCGATCCTCCCACCTCGGCCTCCCAAAGTGCTAGGATTGCAGGCGTGAGTAATGGGGCCCGGCTGAGCCTCACTTTTTTTTTTTTTTTTTTTTGAGACAGAGTCTCGCTCTGTCACCCAGGCTGGAGTGCAGTGGTGCGATCTCAGCTCACTGCAAGCTCCATCTCCCGGGTTCACGCCATTCTCCTGCCTCAGCCTCCCGAGTAGCTGGAACTACAGGCGCCCGCCACCACGCCCGGCTAATTTTTTGTATTTTTAATAGAGACGGGGTTTCACCGTGTTAGCCAGGATGGTCTCGATCTCCTGACCTCGTTATCCGCCCACCTCGTCCTCCCAAAGTGCTGGGATTACAGGCTTGAGCCACCGCGCCTGGCTGAGCCTCACTTTTTTATTGTAAACTTTTGTCTGCATTTTTTCCAACAAATGGATTCATTGCTGTGTGTTACTTGTCATGGCCCATTGTAAACAAAATGCTTATATTATGGCATATAAACTGTTACTTGCTACTGCCTACAAATCAGATGAATAAGTAACAGCACATTCACTATGTGGAGGTCAGGAAATGATGGTTTAAGCATTTCACATCCTGACATAATAGTTTATTATGTATATGTGGACATTTCACTGTGTTGTAGTTATATATTAGGAAATTGGTTGGGGTTATGGTTGCCATGCACTGTAATATAACTTTTTTTCAATTTACAAACAATGATAAGAAAATTTTTAGTGGTTTTTCACAGAATATCTGACTTTCAGGAACAGATTAATGATGTTAAGTGGGAAATGTTGGGATCATCCAAATTCACCCCTGATCCCCACCCACCGGCATCACTCCCATTCTAGTCTAAGCCTTGACTGTCACGGTTGCCTCCTAAAAGGGTCTTTCTGCTTCCATTCCTGCCATCCTTCCTCCAACCTCTCCTCCACAAAGCCAACAGAGAGACTTTTAAAAAAATCGTGGTAAAATTTATATAATATAGACTTTACCATCTTCACCGCTTTTTTTTTTTTTTTTTTTTTTTGAGACAGAGTCTCACTCTGCTGCCCAGGCTGGAGTGCAGTGTTGCGATCTCAGCTCACTGCAGCCTCTGCCTCCCAGGTTCAAGCGATTCTTCTGCCTCAGCCTCCTGAGTAGCTGGGATTACAGGTGTGCACCACCATGCTCAGCTAATTTTTTGTATTTTTAGTAGAGATGGCGTTTCACCATGTTGGCCAGGTTGGTCTCGAACTCCTGACCTCTGGTGATTTGCCCACCTCGGCCTCCCAAAGTGCTGGGATTACAGGCATGAGCCACTGTGCCCGGCTCATCTTCATCATTTTTAAGTGCACAGTTCAGTGACATTTCTGCACTTACAATGTTGTGCAGCTATCGCCACCATCCATCTCCAGAACTTCTCATCTTCCCAAACCAAAACTCTGTACCCATTAAACACCAACTCCCCATTCTCCCTGCCCCCAGGCCCTGGACACCCCTATTCTGCTTTCTCTCTCTATGCTTTTGACCATTTTAGGTAGCTCACAAAGTGGGATCATACAATATTTGTCCTTTGTGTGTGGCTATTCTCTTAGCATAATGTTTTTGCAGTTCATCCTTGTTGCGGCGTGTGTCAGAATATCATTTCTATTTATGGCTGAGTGGGTATTCCAGTGTATGCACCATATTCTGCTGATCCATTCCCCTGTTGATGAACATTGTGCTGCTTCTGCCTTTTTTCTGTTGTGACGAATGCTGCTATGAGCATGGATGTACAAGTACGTGTTTGGGTCCCTACTTTCAATTATTTTGGGCTTATACACAGAAGTGGAATGCTGGATCGTATTGTGGTGCTATGTTTAACCTTTTGAGGAACTACCAAACTGTCTTCCACAACAGCTGCAAAATTTTACATTCCTACCAGCAATGCGTAAGGGTTCCAGTTTCTCTACATCCTTGCCCACACTTGTTATTCACCCTCATTCTCACCTATTTTGCTAAGAGCCATCCTAGTGGCTGTGAGGTGATATTTCACTGATATGCACTTCCCTAATGACTAATGTTGTTGAACGTCTTTTCATGTGCTTATTGGCCATGTGTATATTTTCAGAGAAATGTCTATTCTAGTCTATTCCATTTTTGAATTAAATTTTGTTTTTGTTGTTGAGTTGTAGGAGTTAAATGCATGCATTTATATTGTTTTCTTTTTGGTTTCCAAGTCATACTAACAAATTGTACTGTTAAGTTGAAAATAAAATGTGAAGATTTAGCTCACGTACTCTTGATATTTCTTGATAGTGTTGAATACGGTGTTTATATAGTTAATAGTTGCTTTAAAAATGCCATATAAGTCTCAGCCTTCATATTTCTAGGATTGAGAAGACAAGTGGTCATGCCACTGATACTCACACCTGGTACTTAAAAAATGCCATTCCCAAAGTGTTGGGATTACAGGCATGAGCCATTGAACATGGCAGAATTTTTCAATAGAAGTTATGCTTTTCGGTAAAAGTTGCTTTGCCGGAGAATAACACAGTGGTTTGGGCTATCCTGCTTCATGGCTGCAGCTGCTCCTCAGCTACCATTGAGCTCCCACCTCCCTGCTCTTAACAGAGGAAGACATAGGGAAAGAAAAGTAGATAAAACCTAAATAAGCTGCTTTCCCAGTTTGCTGTTGGCTGGGATGATATCTTATTACCTGCTGCACACCTTCATTTGTCAGTCTCCTTTGATTTGAGGAGGACATTTTAGTGGGCATGTGGTGTCTCCCTGTTATGGGCTAAATTGTGTTCTCCCTAAACTCATATGTGATCATATTTGGAGACAGGGTCTTTACAGAGGTAATCAGATTAAAATGAGGTCATTAAGGTGTTCCTTGTTCCAGTATGACTGGTGTCCATATCAGAAGAGGAGATGAGGACACAGACACACATAGAGGGAAGACCACATGAAGACAGAGGGAGAAGATGACCTCTACAAGCCAAGGAGAGGGGCCTCAGGCCAGCACAAGAGCACAGGGCAGGCACCTCTTCCTGCTCACTGGGGAGAGCCTGAAGTCTCCAGTGTGGTCACCTCTGATGAGCTGTGTGCTTGGAAGGAGGGCAGGGGCAAGAAGGCCCAGAACAAGGAGTGAGTGCCACTGTGTCCTCAGGGACCTGGCTTCTGCTGGGCCCAGCTGGGCAGCTCTACTCTGTCACCATCTCAGCTTCCCGTGGCTTGGCTGCTTCCTGTGCATGAAGACACCATCCCCACTAACCTGCCCCAAGGCAGGGCCTGTGTGTCGGTCGGAATATCTCTGTCTGTGGATGCCAGGGAAATGAATGAAGGTGCTGATACTCTGCACTCAGGCACTTCCAGTAACATTACTGCATCTAAAGCTGTTTGTTTCACTTTCAGAAGGTGAATTCCACGAGGGCCCTCTGTCGTCTGCCCTACCCCCTGCACATAGTTCCATGCCTGGCATTTCAGAAGTGTTTGTTAATACTGAGTGTAGGATAGGAAAAGGTTTGTAGTATGGATAATATAAATAATTGGTCTAATGAGACTGATGCTGAATTCTGCTGTGCTACCTACTGTCCCATCCCTCCGCAGGGCCTGTCTTGAGATGCACCTTGTTTGCCCACGGGGGAAACGTGCTTTGGAAAGTGCTGGACACCATGGCTGTGCAGGCCCAAGAAGGTGATGTATTTAGTGTGCTTCAAGAAAACTAACATTTTCAGAGGGAGCAAGTTACTTATTATTGGTTACCCTTAATATATACCATCTAGATTAAGCATATTTATTTCCAAATTGTTCGCTAAGGTACAGGTCCTTGCCTTAGTCAGTCTGAGCTGCTGTAACAAATTACCATAGACTGAGTTGTTCATTAACAACAAAGTATTTCTCATGGTTCTGGAGGCTGGAAGTCTGAGGTCAGGGTGCCAGCATGGTTGGGCTTCGGTGAGGGCTCTCGTCTTGGTTTACAGACAGCTAGACAGCTGTCTGTATCCTCACATGGCAGAGAGAGACAAAGGTTGCAAGCACTCTGCTGTCTCTTCTTATAAGGGCACTAATTCCATCGCAAGGGCTCCACCCTCATGACTAATCATTTCCCAAAGGCGCTGCCTCCTAAAATCACATTGGGTGTTAGGATTTCAACATATGAATTTGAGGGGGACTCAAACCTTCAGACCATAACAGTTCATGGCTAAGATTATAAATGACCAAAGCCCAGTGTCACCAATAATCCAGCTCTAGAAAGTGTAGTAATGGAAACGACTTCATCCCCATGAGATGGAAACAGTTAGAAGGATGAATGACTCAAGCCTTGACAAGGATATGGAGAGACAGGGTGTTGCTAATGGGAGTGCAACTGGTACAGTTATTCTGGAAAACCATCCGTTTCTTTGTGAACTCAAGTGTGCATCTGTCTTCTGACCCAACAGTCCCACTCTTGAAGTTGCGCAATGTGTAGCTTTTACAACTATAAGCGGTGGCCCTGATTCAAGACCACAGAATGAGCCACTGGAACATCTGGGATGAGGACCTCCTGCTTGCCAGGTAGTTGAAAGACCTATGTTCGTCATAGCAACAGGGCCTGGAAAAGAGAAGAAATACAGCCTTTGTATTTCTGGGATTGAGAAGGAAAGCAGTCATGCCACTGAGAATCTCTGGGTCTGGAAAGGGGGTTGGTCATTGTGGATTCCATGAAGGCTCTGCCGGAAGAATCTGGAAGGACTGAGTCTTCAGAGCCTCAGCCCTGGGAGGCGGAGTGACAGGGACCTATACCGATTGAGGACAGAGAGGAAAAGGTCCCTGCTGAGCATTTCTCTTTTGAAAGACCCTCTGGCTGCAGCCTGGATGAGCAATGCTGACAGGTGATTCGCAGTACTGGCTGGCAGTGTAAACCAAGTTAGCAAAATAGAAGCAGCAGCCTGGGAGAAAACAGGGCTTGGAAGAAGACTGTGGTGGAGACTTCCAGGACTCCTAGATGATCCAGGAGGACAAGAAAGTGCAAGTTTGGGATCCTGGAATTCCTGCCAATCTGCAGGTGGAGGCTTAAGCCAGTACTGATTTAATCTGAAACCTAACGTGAATGAAACAGCTTGCACAGCGCAGCAAGCGGCAGGAGCAGTGTCTCCATGCCAAGCTCACCAACATGTCCATTTCCTTACTGGGTGGTGACTGTCTCAAAAGGAGGATCCACGTTTGGTTTTACTTTGTATCACCATGACTTGGCACAGGATCTGGTACATAGTAGTTCTCAGTAGACGCTAGCTGAGGGGCAAATAAGGAATGGTACAACGTGTGTGGACACAGGTTAACCTTATGGAGGTCAGAAGAAGGCAGAGGGGAGCAAATGGAGTCCCAGACATCAAAGGAACGTCCCCAAAGCCCTCCCCACCCACCTCTCTCTTTCTCTCTAACAGTAGGGTTTACAAAGAGCAGCTTATTCCGGGTGATTTGCTCAAGAATCTGGCAAGGGTAGGGTCTCTGCTTCCAAATACTTCTGAAGAAGCAAAACTCGGAGAGGGATATTGATTGACAGGTGATAATTATTCTATGATATACCCACCATGCTTACTTTGTGACACACCTTGGAAGAGAATCCATCCCAAATTGCACTCTTAGCTCAGATTTCATCCTGACCTTTTCTCATCCATCCACATCCAGTAAAGTTCTGGTTAGAAACCCAAATAACGACTGGAATGGAAAAACAAATTACCCACATTCCAAGAGCTGGCGTGCATAGTAGGAACTTAATTCATTTCTTGACTGATTGATTTCCCTAGAATATGTATATTTTCTTGTAATACTTTGTACCTAGTAGTCCATAAAGAAAAAAGGGGCACTTCGTTTCTAACATTTGAGGGAGAAGGCTATTGAAACTGTAACTGCTGATAAGATTTTTTTTTTTATTTAATTTCCACAAATCTTGACCTTTGCTAACAGAATTTAGTTTTGGCCTCTCTATGGTATTTGACAGATTCCAACTGAAATGAAAACTTCAGCTGCAGTAAGTTTTAGTCCTTGGAATGGAGAATTGTGAAATGCTTTAGTCAGATTTAAGGATCGATTTATCAGTTTTATAATAAACAAATGCAGATCTGCTCTTTCTAGACAGGCTCTGTTGAGTTTAGTGGCTGGGGGTATTGATATGGAACCCTGAGTAGACCAAGGTGTAAAAGGTTATAAACAATCTTTTCAACTCCTTATCCTATTCTTGGGGTGAGGTGCACTTCAGTGTTTTCCTACTACATTAATATATGTCTATGGATATAAAAACAATCATAGATTAGATGTGAGATAGGCTTTAGAACACAGATTTATAGTTTTATCGCACTATGTAGGGTAGGTATTTCCACAGCTAAGTTATATCTGGTTTACTTCTGTGTCCAAACACATGGGAGAATTGCACATGCTCCTCCTGCCCTGCCTGGTAGTTAGTCATGGCTGTGTGACTTGCTTCAGTCACTGAAATGTGGTTTCTGCCTTTCTAGACATTTCCTTATCTGTCATGGCTATCGTGGAAGCAGGTATCAGATGGTCAATCTGGGTTCCCGAGTGACTAGGATGAGCAGAGCTGATCCTCTACATTGAGCCTATGGATCATTAGTAAGGAATAAGCTGAGCCATTCAGGTTGTCTATGACTGCAGCATAACCTAGCTAGTCCTGACTAACACAGTAAACTCCATATTCATGCACATAAAATGAACATGCAAATAGGTGGGAAATAAATAATAGGAATAATGGACAGAGTAATGCAGTCATCAAACTGTATCTTTTCCTTCCTGGATACCAAGATAGGCAACATTGTTCAGCTTCTCTTGCAGGTAGGAGAAATGTGAAAAGAAGTGAGTGGCCATTTCTAGGCCTGGCCCATAGAACATCTCCCATACAATTCCCTGCATATTCTCTAAGCTTTTCTGCCATTCAGATGCAGAGAATCCGGGAAGGCCTCTGATGCTCTCGGAATAGTAGTGCCAGGAAATGGAAGGAACATGGGTCCCTGAAGGATCGCATGGAAGAAAGTCCTCACATTCCCCTGTGACCCATGTTGGGCTCTGATTGAGTGATTAAAACAACAACAACCTTTAAATCACTGATATTTGGGGGTTGTTTCAGAAATTAGCAATAGTTGGATACTTCCTTAAAATAAAAGATACCTATTTTAGTCTCAAGCATCATGCATAATGGGGAAATACAAAGTATTCCATCAAAGTTAGAAGCAGGGGCTGGGTGTGGTGGCTCATGCCTGTAATCCCAGCACTTTGGGAGGCCATGGTGGGTGGATCACCTGAGGTCAGGACTTCGAGACCAGCCTGGCCAACATGGTGAAACCCTGTCTCTACTAAAAATGCAAAAATTAGCCGAGCATGGTGGCAGGCGCCTGTAATCTCAGCTACTTGGGAGGCTGAGGCAGGAGAATTGCTTGAACCCAGGAGGCAGAGGTTGCAATGAGCTGAAATCATGCCACTGCACTCCAGCCTGGGTGAGAGTGAGACACCATCTCAAACAAAACAAAACAAAAACAAAAACAAAACAAAAACAAAAAACAAAACCCAAAACATTACAATAATATTTAGCATTGTTTTGGTGGTACTAGCCACTGCAATCAGATGACAGAGAGGTCATGGATTTTAGCTATCTCAGACAGACTGTGGGATACACTGGCCCTAATACCTCCAAAGATTCATTATATGATAAAAGGGAAATGAAATCAAGGAAGAATAGATGGGTCATATAATAAATAATGCTGGGACAATAGGACAAACATCTGAATAAAATTGGATTCAGTCTTAAATATTAGCACCATGTAAACTGTAGATCGACCAAAGCTTTGAGTGTAAACAAACAAAAAACCTAGAAAGAAACCATGAAAACACTTTAAGAGAGCATAGAAGAACTTTAAAAAGATTGGAATAGGAAACATCTCTCTAATTATGTTACAAAACTCAGAATTCATAAAATAAAAATTATTAAATTCAAATATATAAAAACCATTCTGAGAGTTCAAAAGTTAACGGATGAAGTATGAAAAATATTTAGAAATTGTTTCACAAAGGGCTAATTTCCCTAATATTTAAATTATTCCTTATAAACCAGTAGAAAAGCTTTAACAACATAACAGAAAAATGGGAAAAGACTATGAATAGACGGGACCCAGAAAAGCACATACAAATAAGTGGCTATTTTACTACACCTTTACTTTGGAAAACTTCAAACCTGTACTAAAATAGAATAGGGCAGTGAACCTCCCTGCCTGCACCCATCACTCAGCGTCAACATTGATCAACTCATGGGCAATCTTGTTTTATCTATTACCACTCCCCCCTGCCCCCCGCTCCCTGACAGCTCCCTCAGAAATACCATTTCCACCTACCAGATTGACAAAGATTTAAAAAATTGACAGACTTTGTTAAAGAAAAAGTTAAAAAAACAGGAAGTCTCATACATTGCTAGAAGGAATGTAAATTAATTACAATCCCTATAGAGAGCAATTTGTTCTTACCCATCAAAACTCTAAACACTTCTATCCAGAAATTCTGCTTCAATGATTTTATTATGCAGCTGTACTTGCACGTGTGCAAACAGCACATCCACAGTTATTAATTATAATAGCCAATTATTGGAAATACCTAAAATGTGAAAACTTTGCAGCTCTGAACAAAAATAAGGAAACTATATTGATATGGAGTGTTCTCCAAGGTGTATTGGGGTGAAATGCAAGGTGCAGAACAGTGCAGCAATGTAAGTTCCCATTTGTATAAAAAAAGAAAGAAAAGGCCGGTAGCAACAAGTGCCGGAGGGCCACTTTAGAAGAAACTAGGTAGCTAGGGGTAAGGAGAGAAGGAGAGAAATTCAATTTTTTTTGACATACACTTTTAAATTGTGTATCATCTCCAACTACTAACTATTCAAACATAAAATTAAGTTAAAAATTATAAAACAAAGTCTGATAACCACCACACTGTATTGGCAAAGCCCAATACTTGTGTCCTGCTAGCTGATGAATATAACATACTGATGACGACCTCTCCTCTTTGGAAAATTTTTTTAAAAAGCAACTCATTCGAAAAATAATAATCTGTTGAATTAAAAAGAAATTAGGCTAGGTGCAGTGGTTTATGCCTGTAATCCCAGCACTTTTGGAGGCCGAGGCGGGAGGATCACTTGAGCCCAGGAGTTTGAGACCAGCTTAGCAATATGGTGAGAGCTTGTCTCTATGAAAAAAATTTAAAAAATTAGCCAGGCTTGGTGGTGTATACCTGTATTCCCAGGTACTTGGGAGGCTAAGGTGAGAGGATTGCTTGAGCCTGGGAGGCAGGAGGCAGAGGTTGCTGTGAGCCAAGATCGTGCCAGTGCACTCCACCCTGGGTGACAGAGCAAGACTCCATCAGGAAAGAAAGAAAGAGAGAGAGAGAGAAGGAAGGAAGGGAGAGAGAGAGAAAGGGAGAAAGTGGAAGAGAAGAGAGAAAGGAAGGAAGGGAAGAAAGAGGAAGGAAGGAAGGAAAGAAGGAAGGGAAGAGGAAGGAGGGAAGGAAAAGGAATGGAATTAGTGGCCCAGATCTTGGTTTGTAATTGTAAAGGACAGTTATTCTATGAAGAGTATATACTTAAACTAAGAAAAACATTTTTTAAAAAGAGAAAAGTATTGGCTCCTGCTTTGAGAAATAACTATCCTGTGGAATGTGCTGTGTGCCAGCACTCATGCCCACACATACACATGGCACACATGCATGACGAACACACACACACACACATGCACACATCCCACACACTCCTGTATTGGTAACTTGGCTCTTTTCCCAAGTAGAATGAGACAGCACACACATTTAGAAATTGTTTTACAAACAAAGAACTAAGTTCCCTAATATTTAAATTATTCCTATGAACACACACTCTGGCTTACAATATGCAGTTCTGAGTGCCTCTGCTGAGTCTTGGCGCTTGAGTGGAGGCTCTGTTTGATCAAACACCATGTGTTCTGAACTGCATTTTATTTTACAGCTTTCCAAAGAGCTGTCCAAAATGCCCCCTGCCCCCTGCTTTTCCACAGAGGAACCCCAGCCATCTCAGTGTGTGTCTCCCTCACCCAGCTGACCTGGCCGAAGGCTGTTCTAGGTGCCAAGAGGACCCTTCTCTCATCGTGGGGAGCACTCGGGGATGGTTGCGTTTCCTGCCTCATCCCATTACTGAGGCTTGCTACTCATCTCCCTCCGGGGCACTCTCTTACCCGAGTTGAGATACCTCTGCAACTGAGGGGTTGACTCCATGTCATTTAAAATGGACTTTCCAGCTACATTTGTAAAATGTCATGATGCTCATAAGAAATAATAAATCTATGCAATTTAGTTGAGAAAAATTTCAACTCAACTCAGAGCCCTGAATGGAAACTGACTCGCTGTAATCAATGCATCAGCACTGCTTATCTCAGTGCTAACTAATCAACAAATTTTACTGACCAATAAATACCATGAGCCAGGCTTTGTTCCAGGTGCTTAAGGATGCTGGGATAAATAAGAAAGGCAAGGTGCATGTCCTCCTGAAGCTGATAATTGAGGGATGCAAACTTTGTATTTAGTGTTCAGCATGTTAATCAAGTCTTGCTGTGCTGTGCTGCTGGGACCCTCTTGGAACCTGGTGCTCGTGCCTCCAGCTGCCACAGTGTTGGTAGCTGACAGTCCTCAGCGAAGCCCCTCTTTGGGTACTGCCTTTAGTGGAAGAGAATGGCTTAGGTCCAAGGTCTCATCCTCCTCGAGAGGCACCTGAATCCAATGGCCAGCTGTTCGTAATGGTATGATGCAAAGATGCAGTCCCCACTCATGGCCGGGACTGATTTTTTTCTTAGCCTTGTTCTACAAGTGACCTAATTTCTTTGTTAAGAGAGCAGAAAATAATGACCTTGGTCATTTCTAAGAAAACAGAATACATAGTGACTTTGGTCATTTCTTAGTCTTGCTCTTTCTTCTGTAAGGATCTACTATTTCCTTGAAATCTGTGTCCTAATTATAAACATATGTTTGTAGAATAACCTTTTAAAACTTGGTGTCTCTTTTTCCAACCATATTTGATACTTAATCCAAGTCAGTATTTCAAAGGAGGTCTTCCAAACTAGAACTTTTTCTTGCTTTTAGAACCATCAAAATAAAAGTTGGCCGGGTGCGGTGGCTCACACCTGTAATCCCAGCACTTTGGGAGGCCAAAGTGGGCAGATCACTTGAGCTCAGGAGTTTGAGAACAGCCTGACCAACACAGTGAAACCCCGTCTCTACTAAAAATACAAAAAATTAGCTTGGAGTTGTGCTGTATGCCTGAGAATTGCTTGAACCCAGGAGGCGGACGTTGCAGTGAGGTGAGATTACACCACTGCATGCCAGCCTGGAGTGAGACTCCAGAGTGAGACTCTGTCTCAAAAATAAATAAAATAAAATAAAGCAAATGTTTAATTAATTTAAAATAAATGCTTAAAAACCCAGCATACACAAGGTCCGCATGAGACTCACTGGTGGAATTTGAGTTTAGCGTACCCCACTTAAAAATATTTCTAGGAGACGATTAAAGGATGTCATTCCTCTTTGTCTGTCACAGGTTTCTATATGCTGCAAGTGACAGACAAGTCTACTGGAACTGACTTTAAGGGAAAGCAGTTGTTCTCAACTTGGGCCTATTTGGCATCCTCGCTCCCCCTCCCCAGGGAACATGTGGCAACGTTTGGAGCATTTTTGGTTGTCCCAACTGAGGAGGGGGCGCTACTGGCATCCAGTGGCTAGAGGCAGACGTGCTGCTCAACATCCAGCAGTGCACAGGACAGCTGCTGTGACGAAGAGTGGCCCAGTCCAAATGTCAGAAGAAAGAATGGCCCAGTCCAAATGTCAGTAGAGCTGAGGTCGAGAGGCCTGATGTGATGGCAGTGGCAGCTCAGCATCCCTTTCCGAGGAGAAAGGAATTCCCTCCCGGTAGCTTCTCCAAAGGAAGAGCACGTTTCTGGTTTCCCAGAAGGCCCAGCAAATAGCCGCCCAGCCTCACTGCCTCAGGAGGGTCTTGCTCACTGAAGCCACGCCACAGGGTGATACATGATTTAACTCAGCCATGGCCTGACGCTGGAGCTGGGGAGCGGGAGGAGGGGGCCCCTAGAAAAAAACCGAGGTAGGCTCTCACCAAAAGAAAAGTGAGTGTATGGGTACTAGCAGGAAGAGAAAGAGAGAGGTTTCCTCTCCTGACTGCAAAGCAGGGCTTCCGTGGGACTATGCAACAAAATGTCTTTTGCGTGTTTTCTTTGCACAGTCAAGGAAATACTGCAGAACCAAGTGAAAGCCATGTTGTGCCATTGGGATCCGATTGCTCCAGTGCCACCAGACTATGGGCCCCCTGATGGGCAGCCTGAGCTTTCAAGGGGTATCTGGGGCCCAGAGTAACCCTGAGTATCCAGAGTAATCCATTGGAACTAGGATGGATGCAGGAGTGCCACGCTTCCCAAAGAATCCCTCTGTAGAACCTCAAGTCCTGCATGTGTGTGAGCCCATGTGTGTCTGTGTGTGTTGGGGTGGTGATGGAGGGAAGTGCTTTGGTTTCACCTAAAACCCCCAAACCTTTAGGATAACAATTAGCAATCTGCTCTTTCCCTTTTCTATCCAACCCACCCCCATTAGGAATTACTGTACACAGTGAGAAATGATAGTAATAACTAATATCATTGCGTGCTTACTACGTGCCCGACACCTTAAATGCAAATGGCCACAAGGCCCCTGTGGCAAACATATTTTTATTCCCTTAGAAGGTGAGACAACTGAAACCGAAAGTGGTTATCTGAGACTAGTGCGTGGCTCAAGGGAATGGCGTGGAGGCAGAGAAGACATGGTGAATTGTTGCTCTAAATCAGATTAGATCACTGTGGCTCACAAACATGGTCCTGCTCTAATGAAGCTCTGTCTGGATGTGTCCTGCTTCAGTTAAGGATGTAGAAGGGGACATGTGGCCTGCCACTCTCAGACTGGGGCTCCAAGAGCCAGCACCAGCACGTGATCTGCCTGCCCCCTCTGCCTCCTCCACAACGACTACCAGCATGGTGATATTCCAGAGAAAGCTGCGCCATCAGTCAACCTGCATCCCAGGGGCCTCAGGGGCAGAGCAAGAGCAGACCTGAAATGGATAAGAACTGTGGGCAAGTGAAGAGTCTTTGGTAGAGGAAACTGCTGAGATCTTGCAGCTGTTTGCCATCCTAGAAGAGTGTAGTTATGCTGATAGATTCAGGGGACCTTGGGACTTTTGGCCTTAAAGATTTGGGTCCCTAGAGTTCGCAGCTGAGAGGAGTGCATGGCAGAGTCTCCTTTGGTGCGCTGTTGTGCTAGCCATGGGACCCGTGTGCAGAGGATTTACAATGAAGCAGTGGTCGGGTGGGTCCCACCTTCCCACACCCCTGGGTTGCTGGGATTGGGGGAGTGGTGAGCATTGGAAGGAGGTACTCAGAGGGGAGAGGGCTTCAGCCTATAATCTGATATCTAGGTAGACATTTGCCCTATTGTGAAATAAATGAAGTAAGGATTTCTAGGATCTTTTATATGAAATAAAATTAGGCCCAGATGGTTTCACTGGTCAAATTTTCTAAATGTTTAGGAGAGAAACAATAACAATGCTATACAAAGTTTTCCAGATGATAGAAAAAAGGGAACACTTTCTATTATGAGGCATCTACCCTGAATATCAAAATCTGACAAGGAAAAGACAGGAGAATCACAAGATGCTTAATTCCCTAATAAGATATTAGCAAACCAAATCAACTGGTGTATAAAAAGGATAGAACATCATGTTCAGATGTGGTTTATTCTAGGGATTCAGAGTGGTTTAACTTTTGAGAGTCGATGTAATTCTTTAGATTACTAGAACAAAAGGGGGAAATCGTATGCTCATCTTGATAGATGAAGAAAAAAATTGGACAAAATTCAGCACTCCTTCATGATAAAAACTCCCAGCAAACTAGGAACAGAAAGGAACTTTCATAATCCAATAAAGAATATTTACAAAAAACCCACAGCAGCAAACATGATACTCAATGGCGAAACATTGAAAACTCTAGGGAAAGCTGAGGCTTTAAACAAACAGGTTTAAATGGAGTCCCCAGAAAAGCATGTGTACTTGTGACACATGGGTACGTATGCACACATATGAATGTTTCGGCTTCATAAATGCAGTGATAGTTTTCTTTCCAAAAAGACCCTGAAGACCAAGCCTTTGCTCGCTTCTGTGTTGATTGAAACACTGTTTGAAATGTTGAAATCTAAGGAAACTTTGGCTAAACTCACAAAAACAAAACCAAACAGGCCAAAAAGAAATCAGATATCTGATCAGGACTCCATATTGTGAAGGTTTTTGTGGTCACACAAATAGTGCATTAGAATGAGTTCTCTCTGTGAAGTCTGATCTTTGAAACTTTAGTGGTGCCTTTGGTTCCTGAGCTCTCTTGAATAATGAAGAGGGTCTATAGAGCGTACATTTCATGTGGGCCAGTGGTTCTCAACCTCGAGAAATGTCTGGACAAATCTCTTTCAAAGAAAAAAATTTCTGACAGAATCCCCCAGTGTTTAAATAAATTGTCATTGTTGTAGTACTTCAGTATGTACAGTCCCTAAAGCTATGCATAAACTCCCTTTACTTTAATTTATAATTTTATAATTTATAGTTTATATAATTATATAATTTATATATTTAATGATCACCATTCTAACTGGTGTGAGATGGTATCTCATTGTGGTTTTGATTTGCATTTCTCTGATGGCCAGTGATGATGAGCATTTTTTCATGTGTTTTTTGGCTGCATAAATGTCTTCTTTTGAGAAGTGTCTGTTCATATCCTTCACCCACTTTTTGATGGGGTTGTTTTTTTCTTGTAAATTTGTTTGAGTTCATCGTAGATTCTGGATATTAGCCCTTTGTCAGATGAGTAGGTTGCAAAAATTTTCTCCCATTCTGTAGGTTGCCTGTTCACTCTGATGGTAGTTTCTTTTGCTGTGCAGAAGCTCTTTAGTTTAATTAGATCCCATTTGTCAATTTTGGCTTTTGTTGCCATTGCTTTTGGTGTTTTGGACATGAAGTCCTTGCCCATGCATTAAAAAGTCAGGAAACAACAGGTGCTGGAGAGGATGTGGAGAAATAGGAACACTTTTACACTGTTGGTGGGACTGTAAACTAGTTCAACCATTGTGGAAGTCAGTGTGGAGATTCCTCAGGGATCTAGAACTAGAAATACCATTTGACCCAGCCATCCCATTACTGGGTATGTACTCAAAGGATTATAAATCATGCTGCTATAAAGACACATGCACACGTATGTTTATTGCGGCACTACTCACAATAGCAAAGACTTGGAACCAACCCAAATGTCCAACAATGATAGACTGGATTAAGAAAATGTGGCACATATACACCATGGAATACCATGCAGCCATAAAAAATGATGAGTTCATGTCCTTTGTAGGGACATGGATGAAGCTGGAAACCATCATTCTCAGCAAACTATCCCAAGGACAAAAAACCAAACACGGCATGTTCTCACTCATAGGTGGGAATTGAACAATGAGGACACATGGACACAGGAAGGGGAACATCACGCACCGGGGCCTGTCGTGGGGTGGGGGGAGTGGGGAGGGATAGCATTAGGAGATATAGCTAATGCTAAATGACGAGTTAATGGGTGCAGCACACCAACATGGCACGTGTATACATATGTAACAAACCTGCACGTTGTGCACATGTACCCTAAAACTTAAAGTATAAAAAAAAAAAGTGGTAATGGGAAGGAGGGACTTTTACTGTAAAAAAAATTATATATTTAAATTTATAAATTTAAAAATTCTGCAAGTACATAGACTCTATACCAAAACCACTGCTCTTAACGTGAATCTGGAATGGACTGTTAAGGTTCAGTTTCTTTTCTATTTTTAATTCAAGATGACCATTTTAATATCTTCTGCAAAATGATGCTATTATTCTGCCATTTCTCTCTATTCAAACCACCAGCAAGCTTTCCTGTAACCCTCTGATAGGTCATCTGGCCAGCGGCTGGCTCGAGGTATCATTAGGTCCAGGGTGGGCAAGCTGTAGCTTGTGGGCCAAACTCAGCCTACTACCGGTTTTTGTAAATAAAGCTTTATCAGAAGACAGCCATGTCTACTTATTCATATTTAGTCTATGGCTGCTTTCACACCACATCAGCCATCAGGTAAATGTGACAAAAGCCAAAAAGCCTGCAAAGTCTAAAGTATTTACTATCTGGCCCTTTACAGAAAAAGCTTACTGACCCCTGATTGACAGGATAAGCTCTATTCTTTTATTAGCTCATTGCAATTAAGGTAGTACTTTTTGACACTAATACCCTCATAAAGCCCAATGCAGAAGCAAGCATTGATTATATCAAGGGACAGTACTTGGTAATGGGGTAGGCATTCAGATAACTCAGGATCGATTTACTGATTATAAATTATGTTTCTGGAGCAACTTAGACCACTTCACACTACTAGATGCTAAGTATTTAGCACTGACATAAAGTTAGAGGTGCTATGGTGTGAAAATGTCCCCTCCAAAATAAAGGTGTTGCCAATGTGATAGTATAAAGAGGTGGGACATTTAAGAGGTGATCAGGCCATGAAGGGTCCTCTTTCATGAATGGGATTAGGCACCCTTGTAAAAGGGCTTGATGGAGGGAGTCTGTGTCTTTTTGTTCCTTCTGCCTTCAGCTATGTGAAGATGCAGCAGGTAGGCCCTCACCACATGCTGGCACCTGGATCTTGGACTTCCCAGCCTCTGGAACTGTGACAAATAAATTTCTGTTCTTCATAAATTATCTAGTCTCAGGTATTTTGTTGTAGCTGCACAAAGCAGATTAAGACAAAAGGGAATAATTGCTGGGGGACAGTTGTGAATGGAAAAACACACTTACTCCCCTCACATAAGCTTAGCAGGATGGATGGCTTTACTTAAGTGAGGTGAGATGCGGCAGACATCATGGGATCCCACAATAGGGGAAGTCGGGAACAGAAGAAGCACCTGGGAAGAAATCATGTTTGAGCTGAGACTTTGCGTATGTGTAGGAGTTAGATAAGCCAAGAGGATAGGAGGAAACTTCCAGGCAGGATACAGAGCATGTGCCCAGGTACATTCTTAAAACTTTTGAGGAATGGAAAAATGAAGATGTCTATGGATACATTGGCCGCATACATCTGAGTGATTTGCACACTCTGACTTTCAGCTATTTATGTTTTTGGCCTGGGTTCCATGTTAGAATGTCGAGATAGCATCTCTGGGATAGTTCGTTGCTGGACATTTATTGACATTAAATTCCATGTTTTCTTAGTACAGGAGAAGAAGTTTCGCTTTCCTACCCACCTTGTTCCTACACAGTCTCAAAAGTAAAAGCAGACAGACCAGTCTGTATTTGCCAAACTCTTTCATGCTCTGAGCTTGTAATATATTGGCCTATTTCTCCTTTTCCCCAAAGAAGGAAACTTAGCTCTCATATTTCTTTTTATGGTGAGACAAAGTCATACATATATATTTCACAGGAGTTAAAAAAATACCTAATTTCAAGTCTCAGAATATTCTTTAATGATACTTTCTCCTCTTTCCTCATCTAGACCAATTAGATACAAATGCCCTCAGTGGAGTATGGAAAGAATATCTTATTCTGCAAAGGGTTTATTTTAGAAGGAATGTATTAAGAGTGAGGTCTGTTGGGTTAAACCTGCTTAATGGCTGTGTGCATCCTTGCTCATGACAAACCAAGCACAGTCTCTTTCCTGGAGCTGGCACAAGAAAGTGCTGGGAGGTGGGTGTTTGCAAACCAGTTCACGTGAAATTACCTAATTTAATGAAGTCTGTGTTAAAGCATGGCTCCCCATGTCCCCATGGTAAGACAGTCCTGAACCAGCTGGCTCTCTGTCCTGTGTGCGCTGGTATCCTTGATGGGAGCCTGTGGAAACTGGGTGCAGAGAGCATGATTTCAATTCCTGGCCTGGTTCCATGCAACCTGCTAAGGTCCTCTGGACAAGTCATTTTATACATTTGGGCCTGAGGTATTTGCACCAGATGATCACTAAAGTCCCTTCTGGCTGTAGCATTCTGTGAATGAATCTATTGAATTTGTTGAAAATCCCTAGACAGATGGAAATGGAGGTTGAAAGTTTATTTAGTACAGCATTTTATGGGGGAAATCAGCACAACTGCAAGCCCTCCTCGCACTGCTTGCTGCTGCCATTTAAGCTAGTCACCTGTTTAACAATAGTAATAATTTGATTTGATCTCAAGGACAATTGAGATTGAAGGAAGGTTGTGAATTTGAGTGCAGTGTCTAAAGGATGACATCCATGTTTGTGCCTCCTCCCCCCTCAAAGCTCTTGTCTGAAACACCACTGTTCCAGAACACCTGGGGCTTCTTTACCTGAGTATTATGCTATTCTCATTAAGCACAAGAACATGCAACAATTACGTAGAAGTGTGCGTGTGGGGAAAATTGAACACATTTCACAAGGGAATGGTGAGGGAGTGGGTATACAAAGCCGGCTTTGAACCTGCAAACCCGGGCCAGCCAACATGTCACAGGTGAGAGCGTGTTAGTGAGAGGGTGATGACAGTTCTGGGACCGTTAATTCATGGATCCTCAGATACACTCGGGCAATTGTTCTGGGTTTCCGGGAGGTGCGAGGGCGTTCCTCCTCCAGGGCGCGTGCAGGCCACGCTGAGCAGCCCTGCTGAACGTCTCCCGGTGTGCCGTCTCTCTGTTTCTCTGTTCCCCTTTCCGTCTTCTCTCTTATGTTCCTACTTGTCCTTTCTTCTTGACTTCCTCCTTTGTTCCAATGTGATGATTATGGACGAGTTAGAAAGAGGTAGTAAAACAAAATGAAGATAGTCTATTCGAATATTTGGCCGCCACCACTATAGCATAATATAAAATGCAGAAAAACCAGTTGGCAACTTCTCGTTGATTTGTAGGCCGTATGACGCCCCAGGTGTCATCAGGGCAGGTGGAGAGTGTCTCCTGCATCGTGGAATAAGTATGAAGCTTTGGCTCTGGCAATGACCACAGGACGTGGCATAAAAATGAATTTTTTTGTGGGGTAGAAATCTTTCCTGTTTGTGCTAAGAGCATTTGTCCCTTGTTATACACATAACACATATACAACCTCCCCTACACCCAACACACACACAGCACATCCAAATCCAACACACCACACACACATACACATATGTACACATCCAAAACACATTGACACCACACAGACTCCACACACCACACACACTCAACCCCTCCCCACAAACTCTAAACCTCCACTATATCCCCAACACATGCACCACACCACACACAAACTCAACACACCAAACACACATACACATATAAACACACATACCCACACCCAACACACACACACCCAGCACATATACACACCACACACCCTCTACACACCACACACAAACCTCCAAATATACCCAACACACACACCAACCCAATGCATTACACACACATATACAAATATACACACACTCAGCACACACACCCAACACACGCTGACATCCCACACACTCCACAACAGACTGCACACACAACCCCCCCATATACACAACTAACACGTACACACACACCATACCACATGTATCCACCACACATGTACACATGTGCACACACACACCACACGTGTGTGCCCACTCACAGCCGGATGGGGAAAAGCAGGCACAGCCAGTCAGGGGTGAGCAGCTGAAGAACCCTGATGGGAGCAGGTAGCCTGGAGGGACGTGGGGTTAACTCTTTCCAAATAAGGAGCTTTCCAAACTGCCATTTCCGTATTCTAAGGCTTGACAGCTTTTGAAAGGATGAAAAGAGCGTGTATTTTCCAGAAATCCTTCATGTGACTATTTGCTTCATTTCAATGCCTCAGAACACCACCAACAAAAAACCCACTCACACCCTTGCTGGTGGTTGCTACAGTGCAATTGGCTGCAGGCTTTTGTTTAGAAGTTTGCAGCAGTCCGGGAAGGAGGTTTTCTTCCTCCCGGAGCTGAGAAGGCCTGTCTTCAGCACCAACGTGTCTTCTGGCCTTGCCAATAAAGAAGTAAGAAGCCACTGTGAAAAAACCATCATTCTCAACAATAGGCCAATAAACGGTTGGCAGAAATGCCATGCGCGCCCCTCCGAGGACGGGGCAGCGTGTTTGAAGAGTCACCATGGTAGTGATATTTTATGAGCATGAGTCACTTGTCTGTTTTTCAGGGAGCGCTTTGCTCGGCCCATCTCTTTTAGTACATTTCCATTTGGTGTGGTTTGGCTGCTGAGTGCAGTGTGGCAGCAAGTTACTTAAAAACATTTCACAAAAAGCCAGATTCCCCAGCGCTGGCATACCTGTGGACCACATAGATGGCTGTAATTGCAAACAGCTGCCCACCCACCCACGGAACAGTGAGAGGTCATTTTAAAACATGTTAAAAATAGCCTGCCCCAGGAGAAGCTGGTTCATTTGTTGATTCAAAAATATTTGCCACCAAGAAGCGTGTTCTGAACATATACTCCAGTTAACATTTCAGAGGTTCACTCAGGACTAGTCCAAGGTTAACTTTAGTCCAGTTGCTCTGTGTATCCATGAATTCAACTAACCATGGATGACAAATATTCAGAAAAAAAAACAATAAAAAATAACAACACAACAATAAAAACAACACAAATTAAAAGAATGCACTATAAAACCACTCATATAGCATTTACATTATATTAGGTGTTATAAGGACTTGAGATGATTTGAAGTATACAGGAGGATGTGTGTAGGTTATATGCAAATACCATTTTATATCAAGGACATGAGCATCCATGCATTTTGGTAGCCAAGGGGGGCCCTGGGACCAATCCCTGGTGGATACCATAATTAATAATGATGATGATGGTGATAGCACATATTTATGGAGCACTTCCTCTGTGTGTGGTGCCCTCTCGGCATTGTGCATGCACTAACAGCCCTCACACCCCATGAGCTGAGTACTGTCCTGCTTCACACCTGCATGGGAATTTCTGAGAGGTGCTAGGAAGGCTGTACAGTATAAAAATGTCTCCCTTCTCCATTTGACAAGTCGTGTTTGTTAGTTTAGAATTACCATAATAGTGTTCCTCAACTAGTCTTTAAGGTGCCCTGAAAATAGAAAGAAAGTAGGAGACAGAGGGAAAAAGGGAGGAAGGAAAGAATCAGGGAAGGAGGAAAAGAAGGAAAGAAGGAAGGAAAGAGGGAAGGGAGGAAAGGAGGGAGAGAGGAAAGAGGAAGGAGAGAAAGTTCTAAAGTCAACTCAGTTTTTAAGGACTGTTAAACAGGTTTGTTTCTGTGGGACTTCTCAGAGCCTTTATTGTGACTTGGAGAAGGTTGGCATATGCAGTGTTTCCCAGACTTGACTTCTGATCCATTATTTCTAGGGCTGGTCTTGATGATTCCATGTTAGAATTGTCCCTGTGGGTGTTACACAGTGCCCTCAAGAGGAAGGCCTCTTTTAAATGCATGTGACCCTAGGGAATTCTTCACACCTGTGAGGCAACTGGTTTCACTTACATTTTTTCTTCACAACGGTAGAGGTATGGGATACTTAGGTAAGATTGTCCCCCTCTTCTTGCAGTGTTTATGGAGCACCTACTCTCTGCTAGGGAACTTGGAGAAGATATACCTTAATAAGGTTTGTGCGTTTGTAGAGGTACTGAAAAAAATGGGCAGAGTTATGAAAAAAGAATAAAAGGGCATTCCTGAGTCTTAGCGGATTTTTGTAAACATGTGCAAACTAACCAACAATCTAATAAGCCATACAGTTTTGCCAACCTATAAAGGGTTGGTATCACCAAAGCATAAATACAAAAGCCCATATAAAGTATTTTAATTGATCAGTGCTAAAAATATCATTAGAGAAGTTATCTGACCTGTTATATTAAGTTGATAATAGTAATGACTAGGATGATAAATAAAAACAAATACATGGTAAACATAAATATATCATTTTATTTAATTTCCCAGTCACCTTCTGAGATAGGACAAGTAGTGAATTCATTTCACAAGTGACCTATCGCAAAGTTATTTACAAAAACCAGTTAGGATAGTTTATTTATAGTGTGTTAAAGAAGCATTGGGAAATCAGCTAACATAATTTGTACATCTGTGAGACTTAACAGCTTTTCCTAGACATTTGCTCAATGCCAGCACTGTCTTCTACAGGGCATGAGGCACATAAATAGAACCTAATGGGTGCAAGGGGCTGGCAGGGGGCTTTTGGCCCATTTTATTTGTTTGCTGACTTTACTGTACTCACATTAAAGATTACTGCTTTGACTGGTTCCTTAATTTTGAGATAACTGCATTAGATCTTAATTTAACTTTCTGCCTCAGTATATGTGTTTGCGATAGAACTTGCAAAAAAAAAAAAAAAAAAAAAAACAAGGCAAAACCAAACTGAAACAAACGAAAACGAGACAGGAAGATGTCACGGTGACTCAAGTACACGTCTCACGGTCCTGCCTGTAACAACAACAACATAAAGTAGCTTCGAAATAAGTCATTATGAGTCGCAGGGGGAAATGAACTGACAGGAACTCATAGTGTTTTAGCTATAAAGAGGCTATGTTTCTGTCCATGGAGGGAACAGGATGTTTCTTTCCTCTTTTTCTCAGGTGATGTAAAAAAATAAATTTATATTTAAATGCTTATGCTTTAATTTGTCCTTTGGTCTTTTCTTGTTCAACCTCATTAAAAACAAGGGCAGAAAAATGACCAAGTTTTACAAACATGCAGTCACTCTAATAAAATCCGACATGTGATTCAAGCAGAGAAGGATTGATTGAGTGGAGACCTAGGCCCCAGCTTCCCCGCTGTATAGATTTGAGCGAGTTGCCTATCCTTGAAACTTCCATTTCCTTATCTAGAAAACAGTCCAGGCCTTGTCTACCTTGCAGGACGGCTGTGAAGAACAAATGGATAATTACTTAGTTGGTTAGTTAGTATCCTGCTCATTTCCAAAAAAATAAAGAGAAAGGTGTCAAGCGATTGCCTCAGTAGATGGGCTTGATTTTGAGACTAGAACTCACTGCAGACATGTAAAGCAGTATTACTCATCAAGTCCGTAGAAGGACAGAATGCTAAACAAGACTAGAATTTATACCTAGAGCCCTAGATACTGGAAAAGACAGCCCCATCACAAGTGGGCTTCACTCCTGCTGAAGTTCTTCATGATTTATCCAGTATTGCAGAAAAAAATAGATTATTTTGCATCTCAGGGGTCAGGAGGACTTGAGAATTTAGCACCACGGAAGAACTGCAGAATCACTAGTCTCTCAGTGCTGTGTGCTTAGAACCACACTGCTTTATCAAGGCATGGATCCTGATGCTTTTTAGTGTCCATCTTCCCTATTAAACTGCAGGAGTCACTGAGGCTGGGTCCAAGTCTGTTTTGCTCACTGTGGGGTCCCTGGAGCCTACTGTGGCTGGCACATGGTAGGCCTTCAATAGTACTCCTTGAATAAAAGACTAAATGATGGAGCGACCCAGCACATCTGCCCCTCCTGCTTCTCAATGGGCTGCACTGGAGTAAGGTAGCAGGCTCAATCAAGCAAGAGCTCACTACTAACTAAAAGGTGGGAGGGCGAGGCCCAGTGAGGTGGCCAGGCAAGTTAGACAGAGCCCCCACTCTGCATGTACCCCTGGCTGGATGCCCTTCCTGCACTCTGAGGAATGTACATCTACTCTGGCCATGCTCGGTTGAACTGAAATTATAGTATCTTGTTCCACGCTTCAAACAGAACCAGTGTGAATGGCCTTCCCGATAGCTTTAGTCAGTGGAAAAACTGAGCAATGTGGCCCAGCTTGTGGCCAGTGAACCTTCAGCACAAGCACATCAAATAGATAAGACCCCAATTTTTGTCTACATGGCAAAAATGCATTGGGATCCATACATCACACACGCAGGTATATGCCAGCGTGAATGGTTGAGACATGTTAAGGAATCAATTAAGTTAGGGACATAGCTGATGGAGCGAATGAGGTTCTGACACACACACACAAAAACACAGCCAGGCCGGGTGCCGTGGCTCACGCCTGTAATCCCAGCACTTTGGGAGGCCGAGGCGGGCAGATCATGAGGTCAAGAGATCGAGACCATCCTAGCCAACATGGTGAAACCCCGTCTCTACTAAAAATACAAAAATTAGCTGGATGTGGTGGCGCCGGCCTGTAATCACAGCTACTCGGGAGGGTGAGGCAGGAGAATAGCTTGAACTCAGGAGGCAGAGGCTGCAGTGAGCCAAGATCGTGCCATTGCACTCCAGCCTGGCAACAGAGTGAGACTCCGTCTCAAAAACAAAACAAAAACACAGCCAGAAAAGTGGTGACCGGCTCTCCTGATAAAACATTAGTGTGTGACAGACACATTGTTTTCTGATTTGGAAAATAAGGACTATGGAAAGTAAGGGACGTGAGTGGGCAGGGGAACTAATATCATGACAATATTTCACTTTGAGCTAAAAAAGCTCCTAATTTCACTAAATTTTTTCAGCATCTGCAATATCTAGGAATTATGCATAAATAGATATGCCTATCTAATTTGGGTAGGAAAAGTTTCCCCAAATTGAAGGAAAAGTAGATTTAAAATGTTTTCAAATAAAGAATTCAGATATTCTGCAGTTTCCAAAACCAAATTAAAGTGTCACAAAGGAGTCTGGGTGCGGTGACCCACGCCTGTAATCCCAGCACTTTGGGAGGCCGAGGTGGGTGAATGACTTGAGGTCAGGAGTTCGAGACTAGCCTGGCCAACATGGTGAGACCCCCCATCTCTACTAAAAATACAAAAATTAGCCAGGCGTGGTGGCACACGCCTTTAGTCTCAGCTACTCTGGAGGCTGAGGCACGAGAATTGCTTGAACCCAGGAGGCAGGGGTTGCAGTGAGCTGCGATTGTGCCAGTGCACTCCAGCTTGGGAGACAGAGTGAAACCCTGTCTCAAAAAAAAAAAAAATAAAAATAAAATAAAGTGCGTCACAAAGGAAAGTAACTCAATTACACAAATAAAGTGGTCACTACCTAATTGTTACTGATCCTTTCAGAAGGAACATTTAATCATTAGATGTTTATTCTACCTTTGACAGCCAGTTCCTGGTGGAAGCCATAGGCTCACTGCCTGCTCTTATCTTAGTATTATTTCTTTTAGAAATGAAACGACTTAGTCTCTGAAGGAATACATTGCATTGAAATGAACCAGGCAAAAGGAACCCAACAGTTACTGTCTTTGATCAGGGCACAGAATATTGCTTTATGCTAAAATGAGACGTTTACGGTGTCTTTACTTATGTGAATTAAGAAACGAGGTCTGTGTTGAATATCATAACGTAAATAAAAGACATTCTTGGATCGTATCATTTTAGGAATGCCTTGTTGCAGGCAAATGTCA
Source organism: Homo sapiens (assembly GCF_000001405.40). NCBI lineage: Eukaryota > Metazoa > Chordata > Mammalia > Primates > Hominidae > Homo > Homo sapiens. Next base: position 2,382,375 of record NC_000006.12, read on the forward strand.
ACTGCCAGAGAAATGAAGATAGATTGAATGGCCTAGGAGGCGAGCCAGCACTGTGCCAGCCAAGGGCCAAGCCAGCCACCACACAATTCGATCCTGGCCCGGCTTTTCCCTAAGACCGTCCCCGCCGCTCCCCTGTCCTGGTGCTTTAAGGGAGAGCCGTATTTAACACGTGGCTGGTCTCCTATTTGATTCCTGGCTTCCTAATGTTAAATTTTCTTCACCTCGCAAAAACCAGCGTCCTGATTTCTTCTATCTTTCCTGACTAGTCAGGGGTAGATAATTAAGGTTGCATCTAAACCCTTCTCTCTTCCATCTTTCCCAAACATCCATCCACACTACAGGGCAGCAACATCTCATTACGTAGATTGAAGCGTTGGGAAACCAGGTATTGGTCGGTCAAGACAGGCTTGTCTAGGAAGCGACTTGGAGCACAAGCCTGAATTACTGTTGGCAAACTTTGCAACACTGTTCTGTTCCAGGAATAAGGGAGATGATGACCATGTAACTTGGAAAATTTGGTTTGGGGCAAATGATATGCTACATGATACATTTCCTGCTATGGAGAATGGCATGAACAAAAGAGGGAAGAAAGGTAATCCAAGTGGTCTTCAGTAAGAACGCCTTAGCCTCCGAAAGCCTGGTAAGGTTATGTGTTCAGAGTCTGAAATCCACATGCATGAGGCAGATGTTTCAATTTCTGATTTCATTTCAGGATTGTGATGTTGAAAACAAAACTGCTTAGAAATTATTTTTGAGATTTTTATGGTAGGAGGCCTAACTAAGCTGTGACCTCTTGTGGGAAGAAATTTTTAAAAATAGACAAGCGTGAAACTTACAGAAAAAGAATTTTTATTTCTTTGTCCAACAAAGAAGAACTTCTTGTCATCTATTTCTTACCAATTTGGTTTTATCACCATTATTATAATTTTCTTTTAGTTTGGCAGTTAGTATTGTGAACTCTTGGGTAAAGAGGTTTTTGTTTAGAATTATAGCGTTTCTTGGAGCAGTAATTCACACCCGTTCAGCCTTATTTGCATTCACATCGGAAATTTCCAACCAGGACACTTACTTGGGCCAACTTTTTCTGGTCAGTTTTCTGTAGTGTGTTACTTAGCTTGTCTAGAGTCCACTAAAATGCTTTTCAGACATGTTCAGCTGCTGGAAGCTTGTTAATTTTGGGCACATGTAGGACTCTAATTGACATGAAATATAATTTACATATCTGTGATGAATACATTCTTTTTTTTCCATCTATTATCCTGATTTTCTTTTTCCAATAAAGGGCTTATCTTTTACATGTATTTGTATCTAATCAGTATCTAATTCTTCATCCTGTCTCCTGTTTGTTCATTATCATGAGTTCAGCATGGTTTGGTTTATAACTGATTCTCTTTTTTTAAAAAATTTAATTTTATTATTATTATACTTTAAGTTTTAGGGTACGTGTGCACAATGTGCACGTTTTTTACATATGTATACATGTGCCATGTTGGTGTGCTGCACCATTAACTCGTCATTTAGCATTAGGTATATCTCCTAATGCTATCCCTCCCCCCGCCCCCCACCCCACAACAGTCCCCGGTGTGTTCTCGAAGAACTCAACTGGGCAAATACTAGGTCATAGGCATATTTCATGCCTATGTGTGAGGCTTTATTTTATGTGAACAGAGCAAGCACATATTTTATCTTGTCCGGAGATACGTGGGTCATAGAGGTGAAGTTAAAAAAAAAAAGAGAGAGATCCAGATAGAAAAAAAGTTAATATTCCCTCTACTTTTGTGCAGATTTGAAAATTTTTATGATAAAAATGTTTTAAAATATCTCATATATACAGTCAATCCTCATTATTTGCCATTCCATATTTGCAAATTTGCCTGCTTGCTCAAATGTACTTGTAACCCAGATTTCACTATGTTGGCCAGGATGGTCTCAAACTCCTAACCTCAGGTGATCCACCTGCCTCGGCCTCCCAAAGTGCTGGGATTACAGGCTCCAAGTCTTATTTCTATTGTTTCCTTTTAGCTGTGGCAATTGCCATTGCGACCTCCTGGGTAAAGAGGTTTTGTTCCAAATGATCTACAGAGTAAAAGCTAGCAGGTCTATTCTCACTGCCCCGTTCTGAGGTTTCTCTCTCTGATGGGCTGCACTGTCCACAGGATCAGGAAACATGAATCTTCCTGAACTAGTAAGAGTTTATTTATCCCCCAGACCTCACATAGTACCTGGCAGGCAGTAGGTACCCAATTGCATGACTGCATAGAATACTAATGAAATGTACAGTCGTAAAACATGTTAAATTAAAAATCTTACAAAATAAGTAGTGACTAATGTCTAATATAACAGCTGGGAAATGGTACCCGCAGGGCAGAAGCTGTCTTAGATGTTTAGAGACTTAGTATTGGTTACAGAACCTATAAAATGCACAGAAAAATAACCATATACGTCTATAAAACCACACAGATTTCTTGTGATAAATAATAGAGTTTATGGATTTTATTGGTTTGGCAACTGACAGCAATAACTGTAAATAAACAACTGAGGTAACCTTTATTAGTTAGACCAGAATAGTAAAATATTGCCCAGGGGACAGAAAAGCAAAATTTTAAAGCTGATATCCTGGCTTGGGAATTATTTCACAATTAAGGTAACTTCTATCAAGAGGGCAATATTTTCCAGCTGTTCCCTGGAACCTTTACCATTTACATTCTGCTTTGTATTTTTGTTGAGTAATAGAAGCAATTAATTCTAAGCATTATAGTTTATTCTGCATTTGGGCATCACGATTCCGAGGAATGGATTTTTTTTTTTTATCCAGGCAGTTGAACAGGATATAAATGTCATTTTAATAATAGGAACTGAGAATTTAATACTATGGTATTAAACTGTAAGTATAAGTGAATAATACTAGTCCTAGCTCACTTGATTTCCTACAGAATTCTGGCCTATTCATGGAATTTTTATTAAAGGAATGCAGTACTGCAACTTTTTTTTTTTTAAGTAAAGAAGATTTCAACAGAAATGCAAAGGAAAAAAAGGAAGATACACATTGAGATACTTATACAGTTCTTGGTATAAAAAAATTCTCTTTGTCCAAAATATTCAGTAAAAAAACGAGAGGTAAGATGCGGTTTTCTCTTGAAGCATTTCCTTCACTCTTCATGTAACTTGGCTACATCAGTGTATGAATAAATATGGAACTACTTGAGGCCATACTATATATATTTTAAAAACCCAAGAATACTTTTGGAAAAGCCAAAAAGTATCAGCATAAAGTGAAAAATAAAATGAAACAGAAACTTTTCCGACCAAACAGACGTAAGCCAGATGTTAGAGTCTCCCGTGCAAGGAGGGCCGTGTAAGGCCCCTGTAGCTGTGCCGAGTGCATGCTAATGTGGCCAGAGAGAGGTACATGGCTTAAGCTCACTCTCTTTACACATAAAAATGACCGTTTCTCTCTGTTTTATTGTGGCACATTGACGTAAATATGGCTAGCTATGGCAATAAAAATCATGACTAGCTATTTTATAACTCAAGTCAGAATTTTCATTGAGTGAAAGAAAGAGGATATGTTACCAATGAAGAGAGATGTTTGATCAATTAAAATGAAAAACATATTTACTATACTTAACTCCTGTATATTTAAATATTATCCTACTACAAACTTAAAAAGAAAAACTTTTCACTTACTTTTCCAGTGCTTTTTATGTTCTTCCCTTTCTTCTGGGTTTGCTGCCTTCTGCCAACTAAGCCACTATTTAATACACTTTCATTGAAACAAACTTCCGCCCTAACCAATCTGGGATGCAAAGAGAATCACAAGTTTTATTTAGGCACTTTGCGTTTTGGAAATTAAACAGAAAAAAATATCAATATTCTTCTCCCACTGGCACAAACACATTACTTTTCTTTCTTTTTTTAGTTTTTTTCAACAAGGAGGAAAGGAAGATTAAAGAAATGGGATACTCGTAAAAATCTGTTTTCCACAGACATGCCTTATGTGACAGGCTGTGACCTAGAACCACATGCTTTTGGGGCTGTGGGCATGGTGACTATTTCTTGGCAGAAAGACAGATTTCAAGCAAGTACTCACTCTACGTCCACCCAAATAGGTTCCGGAACTTTTTGGCTCATAGGTGTCAAGGTCTTCGTGCACCTGAACCTGTAGAAGGCCGAGGGGAAATACACACAATATTTTTATTATAGGACTGTCCTTCTTGAAACACAGCCTGCAGGGCTCATGGTTTGAATTATAGGGTGTCTCATGTGAGGTTCTCACATCTGGTTTGACAATCATTTTTTCAAAAGTGTAGTCTTTTGTGAGCTTGTGACGCAAAATGATATGGTAAAATGAACCCAGGCAACTCACAGTTGCTTAAGTTGCAGTAGTTACAAAACTAAGAGAAGGGAAAAATAAAACTGGACAGAGTGCAATGTAATAAAATCTAATATATGAATAGGAGGCATATCTAGTGTCTGTCTACCTGTGGTGGGCTGAATGGCTACTCCCCAGAAGGATATGTCCACATCCTGATCCCTGGAACCTCTGAATGTGACTTTCTCAGGAAGGAGGGTCTTTGCTGACATAATCAGGGGAAGGATCTCAAGATGAGAAGACCATCCTGGATTAGGTGGGTGGGTCCTGAATCCATTGACAAGTGTCCTTATAAGAGACACTTGGAGGAGAGACAGAGAGAAGAGGAAGCAGGAACATGGCTACGGAAGTGGAGATTGGAGTGATGTGGCCACAAGCAAAGGAACACCAGAGCCACCAGAAACTGAAAGAGGGGAGGAACGGATTCTCCCCTAGAGCCTCTGCTCTGGGGGAGTGTGGTCCTGTGGATACCTGAATTTCTGATTTCTAGCTCCAGAACTGTGAGAGAATAGATTTCTGTTGTTTTAAGCCACCCAGTTTATGATACTCTGTTACAGTAACTACAGAAAACTAATTATCTATCTATTGGTCTATCTATCTATCTATCTATCTATCATCTATCTATCTATCATCTGTCTATCTACCTATCTACCTACCTACCTACCTACCTGATATGGTTTGGCCGTGTCCCCACCCAAATCTCATCTTGAATTGTAGCTCCCATAATTCCCACCTGTTGTGGGAGGGGCCCGGTGGGAGGTAATTGAGTCATGGGGGTGGTTTCCCCCATATCGTTCTTGTGGTAGTGAATAAGTCTCACAAGATCTGACAGTTTTATAAGGGGAAACCCATTTTGCTTGGCTCTCATTCTGTCTTGTCTGCCTCCATGTAAGACATGCTTTCGCCTTCTGCCATGATTGTGAGGCCTCCTCAGCCACATGGAACTGTGAGTCCATTAAACCACTTTTTCTTTATAAATTACTCAGCCTTGGGTATAAATTACTCATCTTAATGTCATCAGTGCTTATCTCCTCACTGGGTTGGTTTTTGCCAACCCATTCCTATTTGTTTTATACATATTTCATTATCCCATGTACTCCAGAACAACTTTACCTATTAACTGAAAAAATGATCAATTGTAACCATTCTGAATTTGAGACAATACCTGCTTTCTGCATTCCACTTTATTACGTATATACATATACACTAAAATATGTGCGTATGTAAATACCTGCTTTCTGCATTCCACTTTATTACGTATGTACACATACACTAAAATATGTGCATATGTAAATACCTGCTTTCTGCATTCCACTTTATTACGTATATACACATACACTAAAATATGTGCGTATGTAAATACCTGCTTTCTGCATTCCACTTTATTACGTATATACACATACACTAAAATATGTGCGTATGTAAATACCTGCTTTCTGCTTTCCACTTTATTACGTATGTACACATACACTAAAATATGTGCGTATGTAAATACCTGCTTTCTGCATTCCACTTTATTACGTATATACACATACACTAAAATATGTGCGTATGTAAATACCTGCTTTCTGCGTTCCACTTTATTACGTATGTACACATACACTAAAATATGTGCGTATGTAAATACCTGCTTTCTGCATTCCACTTTATTACATATATACATATACACTAAAATATGTGCATATGTATTAAAGGGAACTTTGTGTTGTTGGATGCCCTCTCCAGTTTCTGGGTTAGTGCTCGAGCCTCAAAGAGAAAGGGACTGTGTGTCTTCGGTCCCTTTACAGCGGCTCTGATGACCAGGCTGTTTACTGATCACAGTTTTCAGGCAGGTCCTTTCGACTTAAATTGAAAGTAAGTCAGAATATGTGTTAACAAAACCAGGAAACCAAAGCCATTCAACAAGATCTGCTTCTATTCCATTATTCTTTAGTTCACTCTGTGATATCGGGCCACATCAAGTCCCTTCAGCCAGCTCCCCAGGAGTTGCTTGGGCCATGTTTTATGTGTCATCTGTCACTAGGTGCTCCCATTCTTAATGTCCCTCTGCACATCTCCTCGCCACCATCCGTGCTGAGTTGTCATTTCATCCATCAGCCACACAGCTCTGATTAGGTTCTGCATCAGGACTCGAAGGGTTTGACTGCCCAGCTCCCCATCCCTACACTGCTGCTAATAGGCCCCCACTTTCCTTCTGGAGACTGTCTCCTCCCCAACCCCACTGCTACACACACACACACACACACACACACACACCTTCACACACACGCACATGCACTCATACATGTACACCTACACACTCCCCACATACCTACACCTCCACATATGCACACACACCCCATGTATGCACACATACCAGTGCATACATATGCACACACACCATGCACACACAAACACACACTCCACGTACACACAAACACGTGCACATACCCAGGCACCCATGCGTGTATGCACACTCCCTGAACACACCCCACACCCACACCCAGACCCTAATACACATACACACATACACCCCTGCATGTACACGGTGCACACACACAAATACCCTATATGTGTGCACCCGCATGCACACTCCCCATCACCACATTCCACACAATTCTCAGGGTCCCTCAACTACTGGGACCAGCCACTGTGGCTGGATAGTGTCCCTGTGACTCATCCAGCACAAGATTCAGACCTAACTGGGGTTCATCAAAGACCTTCCGGGAGATGCCCACGGATGTGGGGGAAAGAGTGGGCACCCTGGTTTTTCTGGGTGTGCTGGAGGCTGAAGGGGTGATGAAAGCCTGGAACTTCCACTGACCATTTTGCCACTGCGAGGAGAGAACTCAGGCAGGAATCAAATGAATTCAGGAAAGTGGAAAGTGGAGGAGGGGCCACAGGAGAGAGGGAGAGAAAAGAAGGGACTGAGAGAAAGAGAAAGGGAAGAGGAGGGAGAAAGAGAATCATCTTCATCTCTGGATCTCACAGGGGGTGAAGCAACTGCTTACCTTGAACTTAAGTCTTGGGAACCAATAGAATCCCTCTTTTGCTTAGGCTAACTTGAGCTGGAATCCCACAACCTGCAACACAAATTGCCCCCATGGATCTGGTTGCTCTCCTGGTTAAGAGAGCATGCCTAAGGCCCATGGTTCTTGGTAAGTTCACCTGTTCCCTATGCACAACCTCAGCATTGCCCTTTAAGCCCCTGTATCTTACAATCCAGTCATCCTGAGTGACTTGCAGCTTCCTGAATACAAAAGGATGTTTCACCCTCAGGCCTCTGTACATTTATTCAGTCATTTATTCCAGAAATATTTACTGAGGACTTATTTTCTAAGCACTGGAGATATAGCAGCAAACAAAACAGAAAACAATTTGCTGCCTTCATGAGGTTTGCGTTTTAGCAAAGGTGAGAAAACAGGATAGGATAGAACTAAAATTAATAAGTAAAATATGGAGTATGTGCAGACAGATCACAGAGGCACCATGTGACCCAGTAACTCCACTCGTAGCTGCACACCCGGGAAAAGTGAAAACATCACATCACAAAAAACTCGTGTTCACAGGAGCGTTATTCATCATGGCCCCAAAGTGGAAACAGCTTCATAGTTCATGGACGGACTGGATGTGGACTGTGAGCACAGAAAGAGTCAAGAATAATTCCGTGTGCTGTCCCTTTTGTCTGAAAGGCCTCACCCTGTCATCAGAGCACCTGCTGGTTGTCTGTGCCCTGGATTCACCGGAAGCACATGGATGACAGGGCTGTATTCCTGCTGCTCAGCACCGCAGTTGGACGGAGTAGGATCTCCAAAGCAAGTTTGTGGATCAAATGTACAACTCAAGTGTACAGACTTGCCCCCAGGCCATTTTCAGCACGGTGATATGGCTCAGAGAAACAAGCATGGACATCTAAACACCCAGAACGGCTCTGCTAGGCCTTGGCTGAGGGTCTCTTGACTGTTCAACACACAAGAACCCTGCAAAACCTCCCCACATCTCTTCAAGAGCCTCTGTGGCTACTTCTCCCTCTCTTTCTCAGTGCCCTTCCAGTTCCCCATGATTCTTCCTCTGTTCCCACCTGCTAAACTCTCCTCCTTCCCTCCCCTGACCTACCCATCTCACCTGGATTAGGCCTGCCCTTCAGCATCTGACATGCTCCAATCCATCTGTTAGTCAGTGGAACAGAACTGAAAAGCTAACCTGCCTGAGCAAAGTGTCCTTTCTATTTAAAAGGTGAAGAGGGAAGCAATTATTAGTAACTGTGTTGCAATAATTTCCTTTTTGTAAATTTTACTTTAAGTTTTGGATACATGTTGTGCAGAATGTGCGTGTTTGTTACATAGGCATACATGCGCCATGGGGTCTTGCTGCACCTATCAACCCGTCATCCAGGTTTTAAGCCATCTCAGCAAAACAATTTCCTTTTATTCTTGTCACACATAAATGAATACTATTCCACAGTTCTTAATCTGGGATATGGAAAAACTTGTTTGATGTTGCTGTGTGTTTGCACGTGCTGTTTCTTATGCTTGGAAATCTCTGCTCTTTCCTTCTCCTGCAGCGAAACTCCTTGTCCAGATCCCTTTCCTGGTGTCCACTCCTCAAGCAAGGCAGAGCTGGGGGCAATGCAACGGGGAACCCTGTTACTGTGGAACAAGCCTGGGTCGGCATCTCAATCTCATTTCTCATGAACGGGGACAGCTTGAACCAGCTGCTTACACTCATGCAGCCTTCTTTCACCATTTTTAGAGTTGTGAGGAGTTGATGGTGTAACGTAACTCATCCCTCCCTGGCTGTATGGGACAGTAGCATACCTGAGGATGGGTTAGGATTGCTGAGATGGGCTGGAGCCGGGGCAGGGGGCCTCCAGCTAAGAGAGGCCTCCTGAGCTTACCTCATTTGGTCTCAGGGCTATTCTCATTTTCCAGATGAGCAGTGATGTGAACAATATTGGAAAGCATCAAAGAAATGGATGTAAAGTGTCTGGCACAGAGTGAGTGCTCAGTGACTGTGGGTGCCCTCTCGTCCAGCTCCTCTCTGCTCTGAACATGCCTTTCTCACGGCACTTATGAGAATGTGCCATCGCTGTTTACTCCCTGTTTGTCCCCCTCTACATGCTAAATTCTTTAGGCCCAGGGACTGTGTTACACTCATCTCCATAGCCCCAGGCCTAGCAAAGTGCCTCCTGCCTAGTAGGTCCTCAGTATTTGCTGAATGAATGGATGATGATTTCATGGAAGAATCACTCCCTAAAGTTTCCAGCAACAGGCTGAGGAAACTCAGGATGAAAACATCATGTCTCTTGCCCAGTCTTCACCATGCTTTTTAGTGGTGGTCACTGCACTGCATGTTTTCTTTAAGAAGGGTGAGCTCATGCCAAGGACGAGGGCATGGGGTCTGTGCCGGGCACTTCCCAGTTCCACGTTCTGGGTGTAGGGAAGAGGGAGGATGCCCACAGAGAGGGAGGGAACCAAATGCAGGAAAGGAGGGCAGGAGGGGCAGTGTTGGCTCCTGGCGGGCCTGGCATATGGCTGTGCTCCGAGTTACTTCTGGTCCTGTGTGTGGGGCTGAAGCTTCAGCTGCCACCAGACATCCCTGCCATGTCCCTCTTGAGAGTCCTAACCTCACTCTCAAGACTCACCCCGATGCTCTCCATGAAAATAAAACGCACCTTCCATGAAGTGTCCCCAGAAAGCTCCACGGGGGAGGAAGTGCCACTTAGAAATGAGAACCAATCCCAGGTGAAAGTCATGAGCTGAAAGGCCCATATCAGGCTGTCGTGGATGACCTTGGATGCCCCTGAGGTGTCCTTAAAGGAGGCAGCATTCGCTTTCTCCCAGTGTGTGTGTGGCAGACCACATGCAAGCTTTTGGGCTGACCCAGTTGTGACTATCACTGTGTCCTCGGGTTTCATCTTGGGGAAGGGAGTTGTACCAGTTCTTACTCCTGGAGGCTGATTTCCTAAAGTGCAAAATTGGGCCAGTCTGTTGAGGCCCAAGTGTTCTGGAAAAGATCTCTGACAGATACATGGAAACTGAATTTAGTTGCTGGTTAAGAGCTTTCATGGGAGCAAAGCTCTTGGCTGTGGGTTTCTTGATTGTCAGGTATACATTAGGGCAGTGGTCCCTAAACTTTTTGACCGTGGAGACTGGTTTTGTGGAAGACAGTTTTTCATAGATTGGTTTCAGGATTAAACTGTTCCACCTCAGATCATCAGGCATTAGATTCTCATAAGGAGCGTGCAACCCGGATCCCTCCCATGCACAGTTCACAATAGGGTTCCAGCTCCGATGAGAATCTAATGCCACCGCTGATCTGACAGGAGTTCAGGTGGTAATGTTTGTCCACTGCTCACCTCCTGCTCTGTGGCCTGGTTCCTAACAGGCAATGGACTGGTACCGGTCTTCGGCCCAGGGGTTGGGGACCCCTGCATCAGGGGACAGAACAACATTTTGCAGAAGGGAAAAACTGGTCTTCCTCCTTCTCCTTTTTTCTGTACTCGGCCTTCTCTCACTTGTGGACACTTCGTGGACATAGAAGAGGGGTGCAACACTGCATCTGGTTCCTCCAAGTGTGGTCTAAGACCCGCAACCTCTGCATCTCCTGGGAGCTTGTCAGAAAGGCTGAGGCTCAGGCCTCAGCCCAGACCCACAGGATCAGAATCTGTATCTTGACAAGACTCCCCTGGTGACCTGAATGCACGTTCAAGTTTGAGAACATTGATCTAATCATGGAGATAGGTGTTTTGTGACCCAACAGCCCTCATTTGGATTCTAGACCCAAATCCGTAACACACTAACTGTGTAACTGGGGCAGGTTACTCTGAGGCTGTTCGAGTCTCCGAATCCTCATTTGTAGAATGGCACAGAAGTGCCCACTCTATTATAGAGTTGTTAATGGGATTAAATTAGTGAATGTAAAGCTCTTGGCACCCAGTGCTGGGAAGGGCAGCTATGGAGATGATAATCATTCCCCTTTGCCCCCCTTCCCAATCCTGGCACCCAGGACCAAGGCCAGTGCTCTCAGCAGGAGGGAAGCAAGAGCACTGGCTTGACCCATTGGTGCTCAGGACGGGTAGCACTAAACAGTCCTTCCAATCAACTTCACGTTTCAAGTGCCTCACCGAGGATGTTGATAGCAATGGGTACAGTTGAGTAACAGTTTACTCGTATTATTTCATTAGATATTTTTATTAGTGCCGTTATTTCCATGCTTTTGAAGGAATTCATGAGTTTTCAACTTGTAAATGCAACACAGTTTAAAATAGCAGTCTTTAAAAGTTATGGTTGTAAGTTTTAGGCCCTCTGAATTAATGTCCTGCCCTATGTGTCTGGGCATGAGGCCACAGATGCCACACAGACTGTACCTAGTGCTGAGTGGAGCCTATGTGGAAGGGCTGCAGGGTTCAGCTAGAAGTATCCACTGGGGCAAAGCTAGTGTTGGAAAGATCCTGGTCTGGCAGCAGAATGGGCATCAACGTTGTAAGACTGCATGTAGCAGGGGGTGGCTGGATCACCTGGAGCCCAGGGACAAGCCTTGGCACATCTATCCCTTCTGATTGATTTTACATATTGAAGTCTGCTCTCATGGGTCTCCTTGCCTTGAAGATAATTTTCTCTCTTTTCTGCTAAGGTCCTGAACGTTTCTGGCACATTACTTGGACCTGATGGTAAACCCATTGCTTTGTCACAAGGCACTGGGAGGTTATCAGCACTGAGATGCTTTCCAATGTGCAGTCTCAACCCAGTGCCCTCGGCACACCCACTTCACTTAGACAGTGGGACCTCAATAAAAATGTGTCTGAAAGGACACTGTGCCATCATTATCGGTTTAACGGCCAGGGCCAATGGGGAGAAGGGAGCAATAGTTGAGAAGTGTAAATGTGAGGGATATCTCACAAAGCACGTAGGAAGCCAAGAAATGTAGGTGAAATGGACAGGAAAGATTTCTTTTTTCCATAAGCCTCTTCATGTTTATCTTGGAAGTGAAGAATTCTGAGACTACTCCATGAATTGTCATTGTGGTAGCTACTCAGTTATTCTTAGATAAAACCAGCGGTCCCAAATCTCAGATAACTGTCAGGAATAATGTTAGAAAAGTCAAGATGAAATCTTTCTGTGCTTTTGAGCATCACACTTGGTTTTGATGCAGGTGGCCAAACCACACTGTCCTGCAGGATGGCCACTCTGTCAGTTGGTGACTTCTTGCTCCAGGGAGCCCTGGGAGCTGATAACTCTTGGTTGGGGAATGTTCCTCTAGCTTTTTACCAATTCAGTCTTTCACTGACTGGTTATTCTTGCTTTTGTGGGCGGCCATACAAATCATGTGCTGTGGGGAAGTCATGTCAATCATTTCACTGTCTACAGGATTCCCTGGAAGCTTGAAGCAATTTTTCAGATAATTAAGTCCACAGAATACTTTTTTTTCCTCAATGATTGGGATATCTCAAGTGAGTCAAAACTTTATTGCGATTGCCTCAATTCTCCATTTTCCTGGTCATATATCAAAAAAGACTTTCTGCTTCCTATATGTGGGGCTTAGCATCCACATTGTAATTCACCAGAGACTCTCTGGAGAGCTTGGCTTGGTCCCATGTATCCTAGTACAAGCTTGCCACTGGTCTAAGTTAGAAAATATACAGATTTGGGGCCCACAGAAATGTCCAATTTTATACTTTTTTTTTTTAAATGGAGAGGAGTCTCTGAGTGAGAGAGGATTTGGAAAAATGGCCAGCAGATAACAATAACAATAGTGACTAACATTTATTGAGTACATACCATGTGTTAACTGTGTGAAATAATTTTCATGTAAACCTTTTGGCAACCTAAGGTTGGCAGCATGGAAGCTTTGAGAGTGTAAGTTTCTTGTCCAGAATTTTATAACTAGAAAGTGACAGAGCCTGGATTCCAACCTATACCCATGGACACCAGAGTGTCTATATGTGTCTTTCCAGTGAGCGATGGTTCACACTCATTGGAAACATGAGTGCCATTGGAACATACTAGTCAATATGATGCCGAAAACAGTAACAGAAAGAGTGCAGGTGTTGAATACGTGTTCCTTTTCACACTGGAAAGAAAGATGGTGAGAAGTTGGCATGTCTTCCACGCAATTCCATCCCATCAGCTGGTCTCCAAATTCCCACTCCTCTTGGTTCCCACTTCTCTTTGTCTCTTTCCAGAAGGAAACAAACTCCCTGATGACCCTCACTGAAAATTCACAAACTTTACAAATTTCAATAGATTAGCTGTGGCTTCTTTTTAAAATACTCATAGGTAGCTGGGTCCTGGAGAGCTCTAAAGCCCTCTAATTTTGCTTGCAGACGGAAGAAGGGAAACTCGAGTCACTGGAGACAAAGGGGCAAAGGCATGGGTTTGGCGGCAGAGGGAAAGAAATGGTCTGTGACCAGGGCTTAAGCTGCCTGTGTTGGCTCTGAGTGACAGTATGCTCTTGCTCCAAGGACCTTAATTGGCTGATAGAGTGATTGCTTTGGCCAAAGGTCCAATTAATACTCAAGATTTGAGGACTGGTTTTCCAACCCCAGTTGGATGACTTTCCTGGCAAGCAAAGGTTACCGCTGTAAATTCAACTTGCTTCCTTAACTGGGCACCCACTCTATAATGTGAGGCTATCATTCTGTCTGGTTAATTCCAGACAAGACTTTGTGAGCAGATGGGGAATTTGGATTTTCAAATTCGAAAAAAAAAAAAAAAAGCATAAGTGAGTGTGAGTTTTATGTAGTTACCTCGATGCTCCACCTTGTGGAAAATGTGCTAAATCCCAATGTAGGAGGAGGCAGGATTGCAAATGTGAAGCAGAGTGGTTGGCCCAGGGGTTTATGCTCACTGAGAATGTTCTCATCAATAGCTTGCTGTGATTGGCTATGGACCTATTGAAATCACCATTAAACTAGAAAACAAAGTTACTCAGCCCTCGTGTGGAAAGTGTCTAAGACAGTAATGCAGAGGCCGTAGTCTGAAGGTGGCACCTCGCACTACAGAACAATGGTAGGAGCTCCAGGTTCGGATCATGGTTCTGAATTTACTAGTTGTGTGCACTTAAGTTGCTTAGTCTAATTAATAAAGCAGGGATGATAATTCCTCTTTACAGCTTTGTTGCAAGGATTGCATTAAAGAAAACATGTAAAAGCATAAGGGCATTCAATTAATGTTACAAGAGCCCTTCCCTCAACCCCAAGGGCGGCTGCAGCTGTTCAGCCTGACACTTTATGTGTGTTGGTCACAGTGCTGTCTTGGAGAATCACATACGGGATAGTGCTTACCTCCCCATAGCAGCCACGTCATAGCAAATAGCTCATTAGCATGCAGTTTCTTCCCTCCCTGTTCAGCAGCCCAGCAGACAAGCTGTCTCAGAGCCTGGATTTCAGCATGTTGCACTCACCGCAAATATCCTGCAGGCTGCCCACTCCATTCTGCTGCCCTTCGCAAGGCTTCACTTTGCCCTCCAACCCTTTTTTTCTCTTGTTTACCAGATGGAACGAAGTCTGTTTGTGGAAACACCCTTCCCCTCTGTTTACTTGGACCTGATTTTGAAAGTAACAAGTCACTTTATTTGGGCTGGAGGAAAAAGCACTAAACCAGATGTTGAGGTGACCGGGATTCCTGGAAGACATTCTTCTCTCCAACGAGACACATGATGCATGAAGTAGGAGCCCCTGGCAAGGAGCCCAGGCTGCCATGGCCTCGCTCGCTCCTGCTTCCCGGCATGGCCCCGAGGCTAGCTGCCTCTGTACTGCCTGAGCATCGTCCCCTGGCGTGTCACCAGACTACCCACTACCTGTGCTTGCACCTGCAGGTGGGCAGTTCAGTCGTTGCAGGCTGAAGCTCCCTGTCACAGGAGTCCATCAGCACTGGAGTTTACCAAATGGCCCAGTCCAGGTCTGTGTCATATTGTTTTGCAAAAGCAAGAAAACTCATTCAGAGCTTGTTACTTTTATCCCTGACTTCCTAAGTGAGCAGTGTAGCCAGAGAACTACATCCCCTGACATCCTTTAAGAGCCATGACCACTCCTGCCCTTGCTTTGTGACAGGCACTCCTGGATGCTGAAGTGCTGTTGCTGTGCACCACTATGCATCCTGTGTGAGGATGAGCACTCCAGTCCTTGCTCCCTCTTCCCGTGGCTGGCTCATTAGCCAGAGCAAACTGTGGCCTTGAAGGAGCAGAAGGAGCATTTGACTCTTCCCAGCTCTCAGTCTTTGGAAAATTGAGCAAAGTGGAATGAAAGCCATTTATTCATTTAACTGGCAGTTATTTATTGAGCATCTATTATGTGGCAGGCACCGTGGTGACACTGAAAAGAGAAGGGTGAACAAGGACAGTCCTGAGCTCAAGCAGGCTGCTGGCAGGTGGTAGTGGGGGCAGACAAGCAAAGGGGCACCCATGCCATGGCCTGCAATGCACCACCTCCAGGACAAGGTTTGGGACCCATCCCTGGGTCTTGGGGGACATTCTAAAAGGAAGCAGTGGCTCAGCATAGACCTGAAGGACAAGAAGGCACCAGTCATGTGTGGAGTGGGTTGGTGGAGATGCGCAGAGTGCAAGGAGGTCTGGAGGTGAGACCTCCAGGCAGAATGGAGGGAGGTGTGTCCCATAGCATGTGGACTCTAAGGGGCTGGGAGATCTTAGGGGTCCCTGGAGGCTGACTGAAGGCTGGCCAGGGAGCCTGCCTGGTAAGGGCCTCCAAGGTCAGGTTTGGGTGTAAGAGTAGCCATTTCTAGCACTGGTTGAGGTGCACTTCCCTGTCAGTGCCCCAAAATCCTTCAGCAGTGTCTGATACGATGTTCTAGACTGGCATTGTTTCCAGTGCAGGCCCTGTCTCATTCTTCAGGAAGCATGCTCATGGCAATACCCGGAGTCTCCACTGCAAGACCAGAGTGACGGAGGCAGCAGAGCTCCTCAGCAGGCCAGGAGTCTCCAGAGGCACTGCCGAATGTCTAAGAAGCAACCTCATTGTATTCCCAAGACCTGGGAATCCAGGTCTCGCAGATACGATGATACAATCTATAGCCAGGACATCTCTTCATGTGTAGGTAAGTAGGGGATGGGGTAAGTTCATCTGGTGTTTCTAGGCTTTCTTGATTTTCTATATGCCACTGACGCCTTTCACCTTCATCCAGTTTTCAATGAATACTAGGATAAGCAACTATCCCAGTCTTCCCAGGATTGAGGGGCTTCTCCAGATGCTGCACTTCTGGTGCTAAAAATGAGAAACTGAAATGAATTAGTCACCCAAGGAATGCTGACCCTGTGCTATATGATCACATTTACTCTTTAAAGCAATGCTTTGAGGTAGGTAATATTATTTCCATTTTAAATAATTTATAAATAAGAGATAAAGTGTGATTCCCAAGGCCATTATCCAGTAAGTGATAGAGACTGGGTTTAGGTTATATTGTCTGATTTAAAGCCAGTATATTTGTTATCTGCATAATAAATTACTCCAAATCTTGGGCTTAAACCAACAATACGAGTTTATTAATCCATAGTTTCTGTGGATCAGAAGTTGAGGAGCAGTTTAGCTGGATGGTTCTGGCTCAGGATCTCTCATGATAGGATCTCTCCTCATAGTATTGGGGGCTGTGGTCATCTGAAGGCCTGACTGGGGCTGGAGGACCTGACTTCAGGATGGTGCACTCACATGGCTGCTGGCAGGGAACTACACAAGAGACAGGCTACCATAGTGACTGTGTATCTGATGCTTCCACAGCTACCCCTTAGGACTCTAAGTCCTAGAATTGGGACTAGAAGTGGGGATTAAAGGGATTCCATAGGATGAGATTGACTAAAAATATATATACATGAATAGGCATACACAGGAATATTCATTATATGTGTAAATACCATCATTTGTATTCAGGCACACCTTGTTTTATTGTGGCTTTATTGCACTTCACAGATATTGTATTTTTTTTAGAAATTGAAGGTTTGTGACAACCCTGTGTTGAGCAAGTCTATCAGCACTGTTTTTCCAACAGCATGTGCTCACTTTGTGTCTCTGTGTCACATTTTGGTAACTCTTACAATATTTTGAACGTTTTTATGACTATTATATCTGTTGTGGTAATCTGTGATCTTTGATGTTACTATTGTAATTGTTTTGGAGCTTCATGAACCATGCCCATATAAGATGGCAAATTTAATTGATAAATGTCGTGTGTGTTCTGACTGCTCCACCAACCAGCGTCTCCTTCATTTCTCTCCCTCTCTTCAAGCCTCCCTATTCCCCAAGATACAATAATATTGAAATTAGGCCAATCACTAAGCCTACAATGGTTTCTAAGTGTTCCAGTGAAAGGAAAAGTTGCATGTCTCTAATTTTAAATTAAAAGCTAGAAATTATTAAGAGTGTGAGGAAGGCATGTTGAAAGCCCAGACAGGTTGAAAGCTAGCTAGGCCTCTTATGTCAAACAAGCCAAGTTGTGAATGCAAAGAAAAAGTTCTTGAAAAGTTAAAAGTCCTACTCTAGTGAACACATGAATGATAAGAAAACAAAACAGCCTTAGTGCTGATAGGGAGAAAGTTTGAGTGGTCTGAATAGAAGATCAAACCAGCCACCACATTCCCATAAGCCAAAGCCTAATCCAGAGCAAGGCCCCCAACTCTCTTCAATTCTATTGAGTAAGACTGTTCTTGTGTTGCTATAAAGAAATACCTGAGGCTGGGTGATTTGTAAAGAAAAGAGGTCTAATTGGCTCCTGGTTCTGCAGGCTGTATAAGAAGTATGGTGCTGACACTTGCTTCTGGTGAGGGCCTGAGGGAGCTTTTGATTGTGGCAGAAGGTAAAGGGGAAGCAGGCACATCACACAGTGAGAATGGGAGCAAGAGAGGGAGTGGGGGCTGCCACACACTTTTAAACAACCAGATCTCACCAGAACTCACTCACCCTCATGAGGACAGCACCAAGACATGAGGGATTCACCCGCCATGACCCAATCACCGCCCACCAGGCCCCACCTCCAACATTGGGAATCATATGTTAACATGATATTTTAAGGGGACAAACATCCAAACTGTATCATCTGTGAAGGCTGACAGAGCTGAGGAAGCTGCAAAAGAAAACTCTGAAGCTATCAGAGACTGGATCGTGAGGTTTAAGGAAAGAAGCCATCTTCATAACATAAAAGTGCAAGGTGAAGCAGCAAGTGCTGATGGAGAAGCTCCAGCAAATTGTCCAGAAGACGTAGCTCAGATCACTGATGAAGGTGATTACACTAAACAATAGATTTCTAAGGTGGATAAATCAGCCTTGCATTGGAAAAAGATGTCATCTAGGACTTTCATAGCTAGAGAAGAGAAGTCAATGCCTGGCTTCCAAGCTTCAAGGGGCAGGCTGGCTCTTTTGTTAGGGGCTAATGCAGCTGGTGACTTTAAGTTGAAGTCAGTGCTCCTTTACCATTCCTAAAATGCTAGAGTCCCTATGAATGATGCTCAATCTACTCTGCCTGTGCTCTATCGGTGAAACATCAAAGTCTGGGTGACAGCACATCTGTTTACAGTATGGTTTACTGAATATTTTAAGCCCTCTGTTGAGACCTACTGCCCAGATTAAAAAAAAAAAGATTCCTTTCAAAATATTACTATTCACTAACAATGCACCTAGTCACCCAAGAGCTCTGATGAAGATGGAGACGAATGTTATGTTCATGCCTGCTAATACAACGATCTATTCTGCAACCTGTGGATCAAGGACTAATTTCGACTTTCAGTCTTATTATTTCAGATATACACTTTCTAAGGCTATAGTTGCCCTAGACAGTGATTCCTCTGATGGATCTGGGAAAAGTTAATTGAAAACCTCTGGAAGGGATTTATCATTTTA
This sequence comes from Homo sapiens, assembly GCF_000001405.40. Classification (NCBI taxonomy): domain Eukaryota; kingdom Metazoa; phylum Chordata; class Mammalia; order Primates; family Hominidae; genus Homo; species Homo sapiens. Next base: position 2,401,568 of record NC_000006.12, read on the forward strand.
GATGCCATTAAGAACATTTGTGATTCCTGGAAGGATGTTCAGAAGTTTGGAGGAAGTTGATTCCAACCCTCTTGGATGACTTAGAGGGGTTCAAGGCTTCAGTGGAGAAAATCACTGTAAATGTGATAAAAATAGCAAGAGCACTAGAATTACAAGTGAAGGCTGAAGATGTGACTGAACTGCTGCCATCTCATGATAAAGCTTAGATGGATGAGGGGCTGATTCTGTGGATGAGCAAAGAAAGCAGTTCCTTGAGGTGGAACCTACTTCTGCTGAAGATGCTGTGAACATTGTTGAAATGACAGCAAAGGATTTAGAGTATTACTTGAACTTGCTTGATAAAGTAGTAGCAGGCTTTGAGAAGACTGATTCCAGTTTTGAAAGTTCTGGGTAAATGCTATCAAACAGCATTGGAGGCTACAGAGAAATCTTTTGTGAAAGGAAAAGTCATAGATGCATCAAACTTCATTGTCCTAAAGAAATAGCACAGCCACCCCAACCTTCAGCAACCACCACTCTGATCAGTTAGCAACCATTAACAGTGAGGCAAGACCTGCAAGCAAAAGGGTGATGACTTGCTGATTGTTAGCATTTTTAAAGCAATAAGTACTTTTTAATTAAGGTATGTACATTGCTCCTTTAGACATAATGCTATTGCATACTTAATAGACTACTGTATAGTGTGAACATAATTTTATATGCACTAGGAAACCAAAAGTTTGTGTGATTCCCTTTTTTTTTTTTTGCAGTAGTCTGAAACTGAACTCACAATATCTCCAAGGTATGCCTGTACTCAAATAAGTGTGCTTTTAAAATAATCACCATTGGCTGGGTGTGGTGGCTCATGCCCATAATCCTTAGCACTTTGGGAGGCTGAGGCGGGTGGATCACCTGAGGTCAGGAGTTCGAGACCAGCCTGGCCAACATAGGGAAACCCTGTCTCTACTAAAAATACAAAAAAGTAGCCGGGCGTGGTGGCAGGTGCCTGTAATCCCAGCTACTCTGGAAACTGAGGCAGGAGAATTGCTTGAACCTGGGAGGCGGAGGTTGCAGTGAGCCAAGATGGTGCCATTGCACTCCAGCCTGGGTGACAGAACAAGACTCTGTCTCAAAAAAAAAAAAAAAATCACTATCTTGGTAGTCTACATACTTGCTCTAAGGAGGTTTCCATCACACCAAATATTTTTGTTTGGATATTAATTATGGATAATAGTTTATTCCTGATTTTCCAAACTTTATAATATCAATGAATATATCATTTTATAATCACAAAAACGTTTTGTTCCAAGTTTTATAATATAAACATATGTATTAATTTTATAACCAGATGAAAGCTCTTTTAAAAAACATTTTTATAATATATATTAACACATATATGATGGATACTGCTTGGATTTCCACTTATGTCTTTATAAATAAGCAGCCTGTTCAGATGTTTCAGAAGGTAAAATATATACTATTACTAACAGATACAATCACATATAGAATTGTATATTCCATTATATGTGCAAGTATGTACACCATTTCCTGGAATTCAAATTGGTGGGAGGGTAGGGAAGGGAGGAAGGTTAGGAAACCAGAGATGCCAACAATAAGACATTGGAGAGAAGATAAATGGGAAAGACTTTGAGTGAATGTTACCCAGTCCCAGCACAGCGTTGCTGGGTGGTCCATGTTAATTTGAAGGAGCTGGAATTGGACAGTCACAACTACTCTTTCTGAACCTTAGTTACTTCATTTGTAAAGCAGGGGAAGATAGTGACACTTGTGCTTTCAACTCCATCGAGCTGTCGTAAAAAAGAAATGAGAAACTGCATGTGAAAATACTTGGAAAAGTGTAAAGTCCTAACCCGGAGGAAGGTGCTCCCACCACCATCATTAGAGCTGTTATCTCTGGAAGCGTACCAAGACCTCCTAGGGGCAGGGCTGCTGCTCCCAGAACCATGCACTACTACTGCTTTGCAGCCCTGGAAGCCCTTCTTTGAACAGTAATAGCTACACTTCTTGCTCCAGTTGTCAGACACCTTAGCCACGGTATTTTCTTAAGCTCTGCTTCCATGTGCGGCCTGGAAGTGCATGGTTCTGTGGATGGAAACGAGGCTGTTGGCAGGGCTCTTTGCTTGTGTCTTCTTGCTTATGCCTGGATGTGAGGTCAGGTGGGGTAGGTGTGCATAAGGCCTGCCACCTGGTGTTGGTGTGTACACAGGGCTGGCATCAGGCCACAGAGCTCCTAAGGAAGCAAGTGCAAATGGTCCCAAAGGCAGTAAATGGAACATGCGAGTAAACCTTAACACTTTTTTTCACATTCCTTGCCACATCAGCAAGGCCAAAAATGGGAGAATTGCATTTCTTTGACAAATATTTCTTTTTTATTCATTTTCTTATAAAATTATCCCCAACCTGTCTGAAGAGTCTGCCAGCCATTCATGTATCTATACGAGGCAGTTTTATGGGGATGGCATAAGCAAATTCCCCACTAAGACTTTCAGCTCTCTGTGAAAAATGAGTTGCCGCTTAATGAAGCACAGCTGAGAACCTCCAGCTGCCTTCCAGTGACTCCCCAATTTTATATCTCGACACCAGACTTCTCCTCTGCAGTCCAAAGAGTGGTGTGCTGGTCAATGTTTAACAACCAATTCTCCAAAGGGGAAGAAATAATACACCATGAATTGTCGCATTTGCCAATTTCCAGGTGCATATATTCTCACTGTGGCTGACATCAAGCTACTGACATGATATGACTGAACACAGAATTGGAAGAGATGCAAACTAGTGTGAGTGGGTCTAATGCACCATCGGATCTTTTATCTGTCCACCTGGAGGGAAAATAAGCACCTCAAAATCAGTATGTGCAAAGCTGAACTAATCTCTCTCTGCCCCACATTCAAATTTGTCCTCTTCTGGGGTTTTCTATCTGAGTGAATGGCACCACAATGAAACTGGTTTTGCAAGCCAGGCCCCAGACATCAGTTGTAGTCCTCACCACCATACCCAAACCATCACTAAGGCCTATTGATTTTACTTCCTAACTATCCACAATCTGCCCACTTCCCCCTACACTATGCTCTCATTCTTCATCACCTGGATTATTGCAAAAGGCTCCTGGGTGATTTCCCTGTGTCCATTATTACACACACATGCACCCAACCCGTTTTCCTTATTAGCCAGAGTGATCTTTGAAGAATGCAAATATGATAACGCCACTACCTTGCTCGTTAAACCCTTGAATAGCTTCCCATAGGTCTTAGGATGATAGTCAAAATCCTCAGAATAACCTGAAAAACGTGAATAATGCCTCTGCCACTTTAACCTAATCCTGGGCTGTTCTGTACACACACCCCTTGCTCCTCTGTCCTGCAACACTGGCTGTTTTTCTGTTCTTTAGACATGCCAAGCCCTCTACCATTCAGGCTTTTCCACAAATTTTTCTCTTTGTTCGAGATGGAGTCTCACTCTGTTGCCCAGGCCGGGGTGCAGTGGCGTGATCTCGGCTCACTGCAACCTCTGCTTCCTGGGTTCAAGCGATTCTCCTGCCTCAGCCTCCCGAGTAGCTGGGATTACAGGTGCCCACGACCATGCCTGGCTAATTTTTGTATTTTTAGTAAAAACGGGGTTGCACTATGTTGGCCAGCCTAGTCTTGAACGCCTGACCTCGGGTGATCCACCCACCTCGGCCTCCCAAACTGCTGGGATTACAGGCTTGAGACCCCACGCCCAACTGTCCACAAATTTTTCTATGCTGGAAAAGCTTGATCTAATGAACTCCTTCTTATTCTTCAATCTCAGCTAAAATTTTCTTAGAAAGGCGATCCCAATGGAAGCGATCACTCTATTCTTATCTTCCATAACAACCTGTTCTTGGCTTCCACTGCCAACAGCAGTGTATGGAAGTCCCAGTTGCTTCACGTCCCAACCAACATTTGGTTTATCAAACTTCAGAGTTTCTGACATCCTAATGTAATGGTATCTTATTATGATTTTCGTTTGCATCTCTTGGATTACTAATAAATTTGAGCATCTAAAAATAAGTTTATCGGCCATTTGAATTTCCTTTTGCATGAAATGCCTGTTTGAGTTGGTTGCCATTTTTCTGTTGAGTTGTCATATTCTTATTCATTATTAGAAAGATCCCTTGTATTAGTCCGTTTTCACACTGCTGATAAAGAAATACCTGAGACTGGCCAGTTTACAAGGGAAAGAGGTTTAATGGAGAACTCACAGTTCCACATGCCTGGGGGAGCCTCACAATCTTGGCAGAAGGTGAATGGCACAGCTCACATGGTGGCAGACAAGAGAAGAGGGCTTGTGCAGGAAAACTCCCCTTTATGATAACCATCAGATCTCATGAGACTTACTCACTATCACAAGAACAGCACGGGAAAGACCTGCCCCCCATGATTCAATTACCTTTCACTGAGTCCCTCCCACACATGTGGGAATTCAAGACAAGATTTGGGTGGGACACAGCCAAACCATATCATCCCTGTACATATCATTGATATTAGACTTTGTGGGTTATATGTATTACAAGTATCTTCTTTCACTCTTTGCCTTGTTTTCTTATTTTCTCCAGTATGTTTTTTGGTGAAAGTATGTTTTTAATTTTAGGATTGCCAAATACCTTACAAGCAGAAATTACAAGAATTTCTGCTTATAAGAGTCCGTTGGGGGAAGCTCTCTCAGGTTTTGTTTGTCTGAAAAGGTTATTATTTATTCTTCGTTCTTGAAAAAATAATTTGACTCGGTATGGAGTTCCAGGATGACAGTAACTGAAAAAATTTCGCAAACTGAAAAAAAAATTCTACTCTCTTTTGGCTTTGATTATTGTTGATAAGAAATAACCTTTAATGTAACTCCTTCCCTTTGAAGGTTGTTGTCTTTTCTCTCTGGCTTGCATTGAAAACCTGCTTGTCTTTGATGTTCTTTGGTTGTTGTTGTTGTTTTTAATAATGCATCTACCTTTGGATTTATTTTATTTAACCCACAGGGAATTTATTGGGCTTCCTGGCTCTGACAGTTTGAGTCTTTCAACAAATCTGGAAATCTCTCAGTCATTATTTTATTGAATATCACCTCTTCTTCATTCTCTCTCATGTCTTCTACTGAACTCTAAACATATATTACATCTTCTTATTCTCTCTTCCATCTCTTTGTTTCTCTGGGCTGCATTTTGGATTTCTTCATGCCTATTTTCTAGTTTAGTAATTGTTTCTTTGGTTGTGCTTAATCTGCTGTTTAACACGTCTAATAAACTTTTAAATCTGAATATTATAATTTTCATTTCTAGAAGTTCTACTTTACAAATTTGGTTCTCCTTACAAATGTGCTCATTTATTTTCAAAACTCTAAAGGAAATAAAAATATTTATTAAAATACTTGGCCAGGCACAGTGGCTCACATCTGTAATCCCAGAACTTTGGAAGGCCAAGGCAGGAGGACAGCTTGAGGTCAGGAGTTTGAGATAAGCCTGGGTAATGTAGTGAGACCCCCAACTCTACTATATATATATATGCCAGGCATGGCGGGTGTGCACCTGTAGTCCTAGTCTCGGGAGACTAAGGTGGGAGGATTGCTAGAGCCTGGGAGCTTGAGACTGCAGTGAGCTGGAATTGTGCCATTGCATTCCAGCCTGAGTGACAGCGATACCCTGTCTTCAAAAATAAATAAAATACTTATTTTATATTCTATTTGATAGGTTCCATATCGAAAATCTTGGTCTCTCTGACATCTAATCTAACTATCTATCTATCTATCTATCTATCTATCTATCTATCTATCTATCTATCTATCTGACACAGAGATGTGCCACCTATATTCCACATCAAGGAAAGAGTTGACGCCCAGATGTCTATGCCCAGCTGTGGGGAGAAATGAGCTCAGCAGGCAGCCTCCATCTGCAGGGAGCTGCCTTGCCTACGGCCATGCCCTATTCAAAATAGCCTGCATCTGAGGACAGAGTGAGGGTATCAAGACCTGGCCATTTTGTGAGGGTATCAAGACCTGGCACCTCTCATGGATGATATTTTCACACACTGGGTTGAACAAGGGTTTGTTAGAGCTACATTACAGTTCAACTTCTCCTTCTCCTCCCTTTCACAGTTGCTGACCCTAATAAACACTGTATTCCAAGGTCTGACCCTGTGGCTGCTTCCAAAGCACCCAATCTGCAACATGTGTGGGTGTGTCTGCATGTTCTGCTGCTACTTGCTCATGTTCCTGGCTCTTGTTCCTTGTTTCCTTCTGTATTTCTGTTTCTTGAGACTTTATCTGTTGAAATTCTTTGAGATTGAGTTGAGGTTGGGTTCCTTTTGAGAGTACAGATGGTCCCTGACTTATGATGGTTTGACTTCACAATTTTTTGACTTTACTATGGTGCAAAAGTGATATGCATTCACGGAAAACTGCATGATCCTCTTTTGAGATGCTAGGCAGTCAGCCAGGGGATCATGATCGTAAGGGCAAACAACTGATAAGTGACAGTGAGCTGTGTTGTCTGTTGCCCAGCTGCAGGCTAATGTAAATTCTGAGCACAACGAAGGTGACTAGGCCAAGCTCTGATGTTTGGTAGGCTAGTCATATTAAATGCATTTTAGACCTATGATATTTTCAACTTACAATGAGTTTATCAGGAGGTAACCTCATGGTAAGTCGAGGAGCACCTGTATATGACATTTCTTCTAGAAGTCACCTGGGGCATGACCAGCTTGAGACCAATTTGTCTGTTTTTTCAAAACACAGACATAGTGTGTATTGGCTGAAAACCCATATGAGTGGGGATTGTAGTTAAGACTTCTCAAGATAGGCATGTTCTTTCTTTCCCCTTCTTTGCTAGTCTGTTTCCTACTTACCCTTATACTAAGGCTATAGATGTTCTAGGCTTCACTTGGTGGGGCAGTCTCTCCACCTTGGGTGGGCTTAATTTTCTGTTTCTCATGCCCCTGTAGCTCTCAAATGGAAACGAAAGGTCATCAGAGTTCAGTACTTAGTTTTGGGTGGAGGCTGCTTTGGATCTTCCTTACTTTCCGTAGTTCCCAGGCTCAGTATCTTACTTTGAAACTGGAAACTCCTGCTTCCAAGTTTCAGAGTAAGATAGATGCCTCACTTTATTGCTGGCATGTTGATTCACTAAAATGTTATTTTCTTTTGTTTCATATTTATCCAGTTTCATTTATTTTCCTTTTCTGAAATTGGGGCTGGGTCATTTAGGGTTTCTAGTCCACCAGACTTGGAAATAAATGTCTGGAGTCACGTTTAAGTGGACTTTACCTAAAAGGGCCACCTGGAGAGCCAGAGACCCGACCGGGGAGAGAGTTTGTGTTGATTGGACCATCAGAAACAGAGTTAATAGGGAGTTGTAAGTGGCTAAACATGGGAAGCAGGGAGCTTTTTGAGAGATCCACAGTTATGCAGAACGTCTCTTAAATGTACTCCAGGAAAAATAGTCAGTTTTGGGGGTCCCCAAGACAAGGGAGCACTATTAGAAGGTGGAGGCACTGTCTGCCAAATCAGAGCTTCCCTGGCCTTGGCTTTCTCCCAGGAGGAGCCAGAGGAGGATTTGTGAGGAGGGGACAGTACAGAAGCATGAAGCTTAGAAAGACAAGAGACCCCTGCCCACTCCAAGGCCTCCAAGGCAAAGCCGAGAGTGGGGAGAAGCTTTAAGTAAAGTTCAGAATTTTGATTAAGACAGAGGAACAAGTACACCAATGGCAAAAAGAAGACCACTCTTGTATATTCTTACAACTATGGTTGTACCCAATCTCCCTTCCAGAGGAGGGCAGGAACAAATTCCACAGGACAGGTTGAAATGAGGGGTGCATAGAATAAAGGCATTTCCTGGTAGAACCTTGTGAATCCTCTCTTTTAACATGGAAACTGCCTAGGATTCATGCCAGAATACCAAGTAGTTGGAGGGATAAGAGTAGGTAAGGAAAAATGGGGTTTCAGTATGCTTTTTTGTTTGTTTGTTTTTGAGACAGGGTCTTGCTCTGTCACCCAGGCTGGAGAGCAGTGGTGCGATCACAACTTACTGCAGCCTTGACCTCCCGGGCTCAAGCAATCCTCCCACCTCAGCCTCCCAGGTAGCTGGGATTACAGGCACACTCCATCAGGCCCGGCTAGTTTTGTATTTTTAGTAGAGATGGGGCTTCACCATGTTGGCCAGGCTGTTCTCAAACTCCACCCACTTTGGCCTCCCAAAGTGCTGGGATTACAGGAGTGAGCCACCGTACTTGGCCATTTTTTGTTTGTTTGTAGAGATGGAGTTTCACGGTGTTACCCAGGCTGGTCTTGAACTCCTGGGCTCAAGCAATCTGCCCATCTGGGCCTTCCAAAGTGTTGGGATTACAGGCGTGAGCTACTGTGCCCGGCTGCTCTTTATTTAAAGTAAGGGGGATTTGAGTACATTTCTCTGTGGTTGAGAATGAGCCTGTATAGAAGGAGACGGTGAAGGAAAAGGAGAGGGAGATAGTCATGAGAGGGAAAGTCCCTTGGATGCAGAAGGGTGGGCTCCAGAGTGGAGGTGAAGTAACCATAGATGAGGGGGGAGGGCACCTGTTTCATTTTAATAGGGAGGGAGAAGAAAAGGTGAATGTACTTACAGGTTAAATCTGTATATTTTGTGGGAGAAATCTGAGGGATTACTGATCTGATGACTTCTTTTCTCTTTGAATTGGGGCAGGGTTATTTTCTTAGGGTAAAGGACCAGGTGATGGGGTGATGAGTTTTAGGCAAATCAAGGCCACTTGAAAGAGCTTCTCTGGAGGATGGGGGGCCTTGTCGCCCAACCAAGGCTGAAAATCAAGAATTCATAGTGGAACTCGTTGGATACAAAGCAGATGGGGACAGCTGAGGGTCCCTGTGCAGAACAAACTCAACCTTTCTGGTGTCCAGAGTTTTTAGTCTTTAACATAGAATTTCTTTCTCCCCCTTCCCTCTCTTCCTCCACAATTTCCCAATTTCAGGACTCCTTGATGTAGGTTGTAATCTGATCAGTTAGAGTGTCATTTTTCTCAATTAAGTCCCTGTGCTGTGACTTGATTGAACAAATACCTCTGTCTTCAACCCTAGCACATTATGTATAATATCGCTCTTGGGATAGGTTCTTTCTGAGCATGACAAAACTGTGCCAGTATGTCTTTATTCCTGCAAGTATCGTCTTCAAAAATTAGTAATCTTAAAATTCAGGGAACTTCACCAGAAGCTTCCATCTGCTGACTGCTGGTGCAAGGAAATAAAGACTCAGATGCTTGATGGGGGTGCCACTGCAGCGGTCATCCAACTTCAGCAGTGTCGTAACCACGAGGGCTGTGGGCGGCCTTCTGGGCCCTACTCTTAGAGTTTCTTATTCAGTTGGTCTGGGTCAGGGTCAGAGACTTTGAATTTCTTCTAAGTTCCCAGGTGGTGCTGCCAGTCTGGGAACCATACTTAGAGAACCACTGTGCTGAAATTATAAGACAGGTGGTAGCAAAGCTTCATAATGGTCATAGTCGAGTGGTCCTCATCTTTAATCTGAATAATGCACTCAAAGTCAAGTTTAAAAGGAAATATATCCTAAAGAGATCCTCTTGCTGGGTTCCTCAATTTTGTTGAGCAATGTTCTGCTTACTGTTTTCAATGTTGCACTATTTAATCAGGTCTACATGTAAAGAGGAAGGTGGAAGAGATAGGCAGCTCTGGGCCCCTAAAGGCGTGAAGGATACCATCAGAATTGTGCTGTCCCAGCTTCCTACACACAAAGGCAGATGAAGAATAGCTATTGGGTTTTTGCTGGCATCTTTATGTCAATATTATGGATTTTTTTTTTTTTTGAGATGGAATCTCACTCTGTCTCCCAGGCTGGAGTGCAGTGGCACGATCTTGGCTCACTACAACCTCCGCATCCTGGGTTCAACCAATTCTCCTGCCTCAGCCTCCCGAGAAGCTGGGAATATAGGCTTGTGCTACCACACCCGGCTAATTTTTGTATTTTTAGTAGAGACGGGGTTTCACCATGTTGGCCAGGCTGGTCTCGAACTCCTGACCTCAAGTGAATTGCCCCCTTCGTCCTCCCAAAGTGCTGGGATTACAGGTGTGAACCACTGTGTCCCACCAATATTATGGATCTTAATGGCTGATGAGAAAGAAATGTTACAATGTTTCAGTGACCCAAATCAACCCAAGGCTTTAGACTTAAATACACCAGACCAGGTCTTACTTAGAATAAAAGCTGAAAAAGGAACTTGTACTGAACATTCCATAAAGATAAGACATGATAAATACTCACCATTTGGATATTGACAAGATGATTAAGGTCACAAAAGGTCAAAACCCATCATATTTTCCAAAGCCAATGATGGGGAGAACTTCTGAAGTGGTGGATCAAGTACAATTCTAATAAGGGACCAGGGTAAGTGACTTGGCAACAATTTCCTTGGGAAGCTGCCAAAATCTTATCTTCAGTCTCAAAACTCCTATCCGCAGTCATAGCTAGTCTAGAAAGGTAAGTCTTGATTTCTTAGCTAAATGAGTAAAGTTTGTATTCTAGAAAGAAAATAGAATACAAATAAAAATAATAATGGAGAAGCAAACTTAAATTCACGGAATTAAGTCTTTAGTGAACCAGTTTGGGTATAAGTGTAGTGATCTGTTTTGTATTCATTATGATAATTTTGTTTCCTTTTTACATGTTTAAAGCATCACTAAGACTTATGCCATTTAAATGTTTGGAAGAATCTGATTAATTTTTTATATTATTTAATGCTTAAATGTTTAGAAGGGTCAAATTTGTTAAATGCATAGTTTTGTTTAATACTTAATAATTTAGCTTTTTATTTAATATTAAGTTATGAAAGCAGTGTATATTTACAGAAGTGTTAAATGTTTTAAAAATGATCAGCAGACAATAAAAAAGTACAAATAATGGTGAGCATGTTTCTCTCCAGACATGAAAGCCAGATAGGGAAGAATTTGCAGCCTCATACTGATTGGCCAGTTGAGGAGTCAACTCATCTCTCTTATAGAAAAAAGAAGATTACATTTACGGAATACAGAATATACTGTGCTCTCTACTTACCAAGAGATTTCTTTCTCTACTGACAACTTTCTGTTGACGTGGTTACTGTGCAGGTTCTGACAGTCGATTCTTTCCACCTAGTTCACTGCTGAAGCTATAATGATTTCCATTTTGCAAAAAGAGGATGATTACTTATTATCTGTGACCATTTCTCAATTCCAGAACAATTGAGCTGCATAGTCCCTGCAATCTTATAAAGGCATTTGGCCTGGAAGATGCTCTGCAGCCATGTGCCAAGAATAACGGCTATAGGGACAATGTTTCATTAACCCCAAAGCAGCAACCTGAACCTCTTACTGTACAATATCTGCTCCGTTCAGAATTAGCTCGACTTGAGTCACAGGATGAAGCTTACCAAAAGGAATTTCCACGTCCAAGGAAGGAACCAAGATCACTGAGAGGTTATAGTATGAAAAGTGAAGAGAAAAAACCTATTCTAAACATTTTATTAATTGTCAATAATTATTTTAAAATATTTAATATAGTCTCCTACCTGGTCCACTGGCATCAAGCTGCCAAATTTACACGGTCACTTTGGGAAGCCAGCTGGCAGGCAAACATGGAAAGTGCTGGCTCCTAGCGTAGTGAGAAGACCACAGATAGATGGTAATTTTCTTCTTTGTTTTATTTTTCTTTTTCTTCTCTCCCTCTTTTTCTTCCCTCTTGCCTTTCCCTCCCATTGCCCACTTTCTTTTTTTGGCTGCCGAAGATTTATTGCCTTTCAGTACTTATAGATGATGTTTTCATAAGTTCTAATGAGGTCCCAGCAGTTTTTAACAATAACAGGACATTACTGTTCCTAAGATATATTATGTGTTTTCCCTCATCTTTCTCCCTTGAATGAAATGCTTAGAAGTAGGCTAACCCCCAATTCCCTTCCCTTTACTATGATAAATGGCTCCATTACTTAATAGGGCTAAATACTCTGCTGTGACTTTTATACTGCTGATTTGAATAAAATCTTACGAAAAGCTTTTCTCGTGTGTTTTTCAGGTACTTTCTAGGAGAGTACCTGAGCACGTGCATGCAAACACCTGTGTATTATCAGCCTTGAGAATCCTCTTTTTTTTTTTCTTTCTGAGACAGGGTCTGGCTCTGCTGCCCAGACTGAGCGTAGTTGTGCAATCATGGCTTGCTGCAGCCCTGAACTCCTGGGCTCAAGAGATCCTCCCACCGTAGCCTCCCAAGTAGCTGGGACTACAGGTGTGTGCCACCATGCTTGGCTACTTTTTATTTTTGGTAGAGATGGAGGTCTTACTTTGTTGCCCAGGCTGGTCTCGAATTCCTGGGCTCAAGTGATCCCCCTGTCTCAGCCTCCCTAAATGCTGGGATTCCAGGTGCAAGCCACTGCACCCAGGAACCCTTTCTAATGCCATCCTTGCTAGTCGTGCATCTTGATGGCAAGTTTTGCAGCATTTCCTGATCCTCCTTGAGAGCTGTCCAGGGAGATTGCTCCCTATCTCTCCAGTTCCTGGATTCTGGGGCAATTCATGTTGTCACCCATGGCTCCAACCCCACGTGACAAGTCCACCTTTCACAGAAGTTGCATCCTTTTCTGAGTTGCCTGCAAAGGCCGGACATCCTCCAGTCACCTCAGTGCGACCCATGACCATGGAGGTATTTTTTTAAAAGGAAAAACCATTGCCATGAACAAGTCCCTTAGCACCACATGACTTAACTAGGGTGGTCCTGACACCTGTTCTTCTGTGGTGACAGGGTTGGCAGCCAACTCCAGAGGTATTTTGTTGTTGTTGTTGTTCTTAATGGTAAGACAGATTAAGTAACAAGCAACAAAGAAGGGGACCAAGCTGCATCCCATGATGTAACACACAGGGATTTCAATACAATCAGGCTTTTTTCCTTGAGGAATTACAAGCTATAGGGAATGTCTTTTAGCCAGAAAGGGCTTCGAGCAGGAAAACTCAAAAACATTCTGTATTACTGTGTTCTATTTTGGTTCTGGGCTAGCTTTGGATGGGTGGCTTTCACTCTGCCCTGAAATTAACATGTTATAAACGGACGGGTTGGGTCTCAGATCCAGCAAAGAAGCCAGCTTGAAAAATCATTCTGGGAAATGCACTGAATCACTTGTTCCAGGAACAGAAAGCCACTGTGCCTTGAGAAACAGGCCGTCGGCAAAGTCCCTGAGACAAGCACCCTCGGATTTGCTGTCCAATCGTCACCGTCCTCCCTTCATTCTAGGGCTTTCTGTCACTTCACTACTCATATTATTGAGGGCTTGACTTCTGCTAACAGGTTCTCTTAAAAGACTATCTGGAGACAGCTTTTTAAGAGCCTTCCCTTTCCGGATCCCTTTGGGATAGAAACCGCAGAGTATTTAATAGTCTGTGATAACCCTTACTTTCCATCCTCTGTTTTCTGGGCAACTCTTCGCACCCACAAGGTAATGACTGCAAATGAATTCCAGGCGGGAGCAGAAATCCTCCTGCGCTGTGCGTCGTCTGCCCCGCTCGGGCCTGCATATGGGCTCCGCACACTGCTCGCTCTTTGTGCCACTTCAGGGTCCTGTCCCCTTGAGTCTCAATCAAGATACGGCTCATTCCACCCTTGGGCAGGAGGGCAATGCTGATGAGGCTGTTTATAGCTTCGGTGCCTGCGCACTCCATGTTATTTAGTTGTTGTTCCTCCGCTGTTTCCAAACAAGCAGTCTGTCCAAAAAAAAAAAAAAAGGATCAAATGGAAAACTTTATAAATACTCCAAATGGCGGAAACAGGAAGTGGAATAAAAATGATGTGGCTCTTCACAGAAAACATGCTGTCATTTTTTTTTTTCTCTGTAAATATACACCATTCATTTTCAGAAAGAGGCTGTGCCTAAAGAAGAATTAAAAAAAAAAAACAAAAAACTACAAAGTGACTCGGCTGACTTTGGAGACTGTTCAGAGAAGCTGCCTCGGGCTGTGCGGGATGCTCTGGGGTGGGAGGGGCAGAACGGCATGGCCCGGAAACCTCTGAAAAATAGGTGCGGGTTCTACTGCGGAAACGCAAAATGATGTCTTGTTGGGTACCCAGGTCTCAGTGTCTCGTGACTTCTTATTGGACAGCTGAAATGCTTCATCCATATCCATCATGTCAGTGGTATTAATTCCAATTCCAACTGCAATTCCAATGATCTCATCCTTAAACCACATTCAATTTCTTCTTGGTAAGGTTGTTCATATAATAATAACGATGAACATTTACATAACGCTCACTATGTGCCAGGCGCTCTTGTAAGTGTTTTACAACTGTGGACTCATTTACTGTTCACAACAATTCTAAGTAGTAGGATATTATCCTTCCCATTTTATGGATGAGGAGACTGAAATATAAATGAACAACTAAGTTTTCTGAGGCGACATAAGTTGTAAATGGAGCTGAGCTTCAGCCTAGGTAGTTGGGTTTCAGGATCCATATCCTTACTAGTATCTCTTTATTGTGAATTAAGAAAAGACTAGAAAAGCAAACACAAAGCACACTGTGATTGTGAACAAATCAAACGTTTCTTTCTCCTTTCCTGTTTCTTTCTTTCTTCTTTCCTGTTTCTCTCTTTCTTTCTTTTCCTTCCTTCCTTCCTTTTTTCTCTCTTCCTTCCTTCCTTCTTTTTTCCTCTCTTTCTTCCTTCCTTTCTCTCTTCCTTTCTTTCTCTTTCTTCCTTCCTTTCTTCCTTCCTTCCTTTCTCTCTTCCTTCCTTCTCTTCTTTCTTTCTTTCCTTCTTTCTCTCTTTCTTTCCTTCCTTCCTTCTTCTTTCCTCTTTCTTCCTTCCTTTCTCTCTTCCTTTCTTTCTCTCTCCTCCTTCCTTTCTCTATTCCTTTCTTCCTCTCTTTCTTTCTTCCTTCCTTTCTCTCTTCCTTCCTCTCTCCCTTCCTTTCTCTCTCCCTTCCTTTCTCTCTTCCTTCCTTCCCTCTCTCTCTTTCTTCCTTTCTTTCATTCGTTTTTGAGACAGGATCTAGCTCTGTTGTCCAGGCTGGAGTGGACATAGTTCACTGCAGCCTCCAACTCTTGGGCTCAAGCAATCTTCCTGCCTCAGCCTCCTTAGCAGTTAGGACTACAGGTGTGTGCCACCATGCCCAGCTAATTTTTAATTTTAATTTTTGATTATATATATATATGTGTGTATATATATATATGTGTGTGTATATATATATGTGTGTGTGTATATATATATATATATAGAGAGAGAGAGAGAGATGGTCTTGCTCTGTCACTCACGCTGGAGTGGAGTGGTGCAATCACAGCTCACTGCAACCTCAACTTCCCAGGTTCAAGTGCCTCAGCCTCCTGAGTAGCTGAGACTATAGGTGTGCACCACCACACCCAGCTAATTTTTATTTTTTGTAGAGACAGGTTCTCCCTGTGTTCCCCAGGCTGCTAATGAACTCCTGGCCTCAAGCGATCCTCTGGCCTCAGCCTCCCAAAGTGTTAGGATTACGGCACCCAGCTCAAACATCTCTTATTGACACTGTTGGGCTGCAACTTCAAAAGAAGACTCAAATATGATTATAAAGGGATTGCTCAACCTGAATCAAACAATGGTATCCAATCTACATGTGTCTTTATAAGAGGAGATTTCACGCAGACAGAAGAGGAGAAGGCCAGGTGAAGACAGGCAGAGACTGGAGGATGTAGTTGCAGGCCCGGGGACCCCGCAGCCATCAGAAGCTGGAAGAGGCAGGAGCAGATTCTCCCTTAAAGCCTCCGAAGGGAGCACAGCACGGCTGGCACCTTGATTTCAGCCTAGCAGTCCTGGCTTCAACCTTCCGGCCCCCAGAATGGGACTGTCTACATTCTCTCTATTAAAACTGCCATCTTCCAGGGGCAGAGGAGCCAGAGGAGGAGATTAAATGCTCTATGCCCTGTAATACAGCCATCTGAATGCAGCAGTTCTCACAGTTTTGGGGCTCAGTGCCCCTTGTCACTTTAAAAAATTATCAAGGACCCCAAATAGTTTATCATTATGTGGAGCGTACCTATAGACAATTACCATATTAGAAACCCAAACTGGGCAGATTTAAAATATTTAATTCATATGCAAACATCTTTCATTAATTCACATAAACATAAGCCTATTACATGTTGACATAAATGATGTTTTTATGAAAAATTGCTGTATTTTCAACACAGAAACCCAGTAAAGTGGCATCGTTTTACTTTTTTTTTTTTTTTTATTATACTCTAAGTTTTAGGGTACATGTGCACATTGTGCAGGTTAGTTACATATGTATACATGTGCCATGCTGGTGCGCTGCACCCACTAATGTGTCATCTAGCATTAGGTATATCTCCCAATGCTATCCCTCCCCCCTCCCCCGACCCCACCACAGTCCCCAGAGTGTGATATTCCCCTTCCTGTGTCCATATGATCTCATTGTTCAATTCCCACCTATGAGTGAGAATATGCGGTGTTTGGTTTTTTGTTCTTGTGATAGTTTACTGAGAATGATGGTTTCCAATTTCATCCATGTCCCTACAAAGGATATGAACTCATCATTTTTTATGGCTGCATAGTATTCCATGGTGTATATGTGCCACATTTTCTTAATCCAGTCTATCATTGTTGGACATTTGGGTTGGTTCCAAGTCTTTGCTATTGTGAATAGTGCCGCAATAAACATACGTGTGCATGTGTCTTTATAGCAGCATGATTTATAGTCCTTTGGGTATATACCCAGTAATGGGATGGCTGGGTCAAATGGTATTTCTAGTTCTAGATCCCTGAGGAATCGCCACACTGACTTCCACAATGGTTGAACTAGTTTACAGTCCCACCAACAGTGTAAAAGTGTTCCTATTTCTCCACATCCTCTCCAGCACCTGTTGTTTCCTGACTTTTTAATGATTGCCATTCTAACTGGTGTGAGATGATATCTCATAGTGGTTTTGATTTGCATTTCTCTGATGGCCAGTGATGATGAGCATTTCTTCATGTGTTTTTTGGCTGCATAAATGTCTTCTTTTGAGAAGTGTCTGTTCATGTCCTTCGCCCACTTTTTGATGGGGTTGTTTGTTTTTTTCTTGTAAATTTGTTTGAGTTCATTGTAGATTCTGGATATTAGCCCTTTGTCAGATGAGTAGGTTGCGAAAATTTTCTCCCATGTGGTAGGTTGCCTGTTCACTCTGATGGTAGTTTCTTTTGCTGTGCAGAAGCTCTTTAGTTTAATTAGATCCCATTTGTCAATTTTGGCTTTTGTTGCCATTGCTTTTGGTGTTTTGGACATGAAGTCCTTGCCCACGCCTATGTCCTGAATGGTAATGCCTAGGTTTTCTTCTAGGGTTTTTATGGTTTTAGGTCTGACGTTTAAATCTTTAATCCATTTTGAATTGATTTTTGTATAAGGTGTAAGGAAGGGATCCAGTTTCAGCTTTCTACATATGGCTAGCCAGTTTTCCCAGCACCATTTATTAAATAGGGAATCCTTTCCCCATTGCTTGTTTTTCTCAGGTTTGTCAAAGATCAGATAGTTGTAGATATGCGGCATTATTTCTGAGGGCTCTGTTCTGTTCCATTGATCTATATCTCTGTTTTGGTACCAGTACCATGCTGTTTTGGTTACTGTAGCCTTGTAGTATAGTTTGAAGTCAGGTAGTGTGATGCCTCCAGCTTTGTTCTTTTGGCTTAGGATTGACTTGGCGATGCGGGCTCTTTTTTGGTTCCATATGAACTTTAAAGTAGTTTTTTCCAATTCAGTGAAGAAAGTCATTGGTAGCTTGATGGGGATGGCATTGAATCTGTAAATTACCTTGGGCAGTATGGCCATTTTCACGATATTGATTCTTCCTACCCATGAGCATGGAATGTTCTTCCATTTGTTTGTGTCCTCTTTTATTTCCTTGAGCAGTGGTTTGTAGTTCTCCTTGAAGAGGTCCTTCACATCCCTTGTAAGTTGGATTCCTAGGTATTTTATTCTCTTTGAAGCAATTGTGAATGGGAGTTCACCCATGATTTGGCTCTCTGTTTGTCTGTTGTTGGTGTATAAGAATGCTTGTGATTTTTGTACATTGATTTTGTATCCTGAGACTTTGCTGAAGTTGCTTATCAGCTTAAGGAGATTTTGGGCTGAGACGATGGGGTTTTCTAGATAAACAATCATGTCGTCTGCAAACAGGGACAATTTGACTTCCTCTTTTCCTAATTGAATACCCTTTATTTCCTTCTCCTGCCTGATTGCCCTGGCCAGAACTTCCAACACTATGTTGAATAGGAGCGGTGAGAGAGGGCATCCCTGTCTTGTGCCAGTTTTCAAAGGGAATGCTTCCAGTTTTTGCCCATTCAGTATGATATTGGCTGTGGGTTTGTCATAGATAGCTCTTATTATTTTGAAATACGTCCCATCAATACCTAATTTATTGAGAGTTTTTAGCATGAAGGGTTGTTGAATTTTGTCAAAGGCTTTTTCTGCATCTATTGAGATAATCATGTGGTTTTTGTCTTTGGCTCTGTTTATATGCTGGATTACATTTATTGATTTGCGTATATTGAACCAGCCTTGCATCCCAGGGATGAAGCCCACTTGATCATGGTGGATAAGCTTTTTGATGTGCTGCTGGATTTGGTTTGCCAGTATTTTATTGAGGATTTTTGCATCAATGTTCATCAAGGATATTGGTCTAAAATTCTCTTTTTTTGTTGTGTCTCTGCCCGGCTTTGGTATCAGAATGATGCTGGCCTCATAAAATGAGTTAGGGAGGATTCCCTCTTTTTCTATTGATTGGAATAGTTTCAGAAGGAATGGTACCAGTTCCTCCTTGTACCTCTGGTAGAATTCGGCTGTGAATCCATCTGGTCCTGGACTCTTTTTGGTTGGTAAACTATTGATTATTGCCCCAATTTCAGAACCTGTTATTGGTCTATTCAGAGATTCAACTTCTTCCTGGTTTAGTCTTGGGAGAGTGTATGTGTCGAGGAATGTATCCATTTCTTCTAGATTTTCTAGTTTATTTGCGTAGAGGTGTTTGTAGTATTCTCTGATGGTAGTTTGTATTTCTGTGGGATCGGTGGTGATATCCCCTTTATCATTTTTTATTGTGTCTATTTGATTCTTCTCTCTTTTTTTCTTTATTAGTCTTGCTAGTGGTCTATCAATTTTGTTGATCCTTTCAAAAAACCAGCTCCTGGATTCATTGATTTTTTGAAGGGTTTTTTGTGTCTCTATTTCCTTCAGTTCTGCTCTGATTTTAGTTATTTCTTGCCTTCTGCTAGCTTTTGAATGTGTTTGCTCTTGCTTTTCTAGTTCTTTTAATTGTGATGTTAGGGTGTCAATTTTGGATCTTTCCTGCTTTCTCTTGTAGGCATTTAGTGCTATAAATTTCCCTCTACACACTGCTTTGAATGCGTCCCAGAGATTCTGGTATGTGGTGTCTTTGTTCTCGTTGGTTTCAAAGAACATCTTTATTTCTGCCTTCATTTCGTTATGTACCCAGTAGTCATTCAGGAGCAGGTTGTTCAGTTTCCATGTAGTTGAGCGGCTTTGAGTGAGATTTTTAATCCTGAGTTCTAGTTTGATTGCACTGTGGTCTGAGAGATAGTTTGTTATAATTTCTGTTCTTTTACATTTGCTGAGGAGAGCTTTACTTCCAACTATGTGGTCAATTTTGGAATAGGTGTGGTGTGGTGCTGAAAAAAATGTATATTCTGTTGATTTGGGGTGGAGAGTTCTGTAGATGTCTATTAGGTCTGCTTGGTGCAGAGCTGAGTTCAATTCCTGGGTATCCTTGTTGACTTTCTGTCTCGTTGATCTGTCTAATGTTGACAGTGGGGTGTTAAAGTCTCCCATTATTAATGTGTGGGAGTCTAAGTCTCTTTGTAGGTCACTGAGGACTTGCTTTATGAATCTGGGTGCTCCTGTATTGGGTGCATAAATATTTAGGATAGTTAGCTCCTCTTGTTGAATTGATCCCTTTACCATTATGTAATGGCCTTCTTTGTCTCTTTTGATCTTTGTTGGTTTAAAGTCTGTTTTATCAGAGACTAGGATTGCAACCCCTGCCTTTTTTTGTTTTCCATTGGCTTGGTAGATCTTCCTCCATCCTTTTATTTTGAGCCTATGTGTGTCTCTGCACGTGAGATGGGTTTCCTGAATACAGCACACTGATGGGTCTTGACTCTTTATCCAACTTGCCAGTCTGTGTCTTTTAATTGCAGAATTTAGTCCATTTATATTTAAAGTTAATATTGTTATGTGTGAATTTGATCCTGTCATTATGATGTTAGCTGGTGATTTTGCTCATTAGTTGATGCAGTTTCTTCCTAGTCTCGATGGTCTTTACATTTTGGCATGATTTTGCAGCGGCTGGTACCGGTTGTTCCTTTCCATGTTTAGCGCTTCCTTCAGGAGCTCTTTTAGGGCAGGCCTGGTGGTGACAAAATCTCTCAGCATTTGCTTGTCTATAAAGTATTTTATTTCTCCTTCACTTATGAAGCTTAGTTTGGCTGGATATGAAATTCTGGGTTGAAAATTCTTTTCTTTAAGAATGTTGAATATTGGCCCCCACTCTCTTCTGGCTTGTAGGGTTTCTGCCGAGAGATCCGCTGTTAGTCTGATGGGCTTTCCTTTGAGGGTAACCCGACCTTTCTCTCTGGCTGCCCTTAACATTTTTTCCTTCATTTCAACTTTGGTGAATCTGACAATTATGTGTCTTGGAGTTGCTCTTCTCGAGGAGTATCTTTGTGGCGTTCTCTGTATTTCCTGAATCTGAACGTTGGCCTGCCTTGCTAGATTGGGGAAGTTCTCCTGGATAATATCCTGCAGAGTGTTTTCCAACTTGGTTCCATTCTCCCCATCACTTTCAGGTACACCAATCAGACGTAGATTTGGTCTTTTCACATAGTCCCATATTTCTTGGAGGCTTTGCTCATTTCTTTTTATTCTTTTTTCTCTAAACTTCCCTTCTCGCTTCATTTCATTCATTTCATCTTCCATTGCTGATACCCTTTCTTCCAGTTGATTGCATCGGCTCCTGAGGCTTCTGCATTCTTCACGTAGTTCTCGAGCCTTGGTTTTCAGCTCCATCAGCTCCTTTAAGCACTTCTCTGTATTGGTTATTCTAGTTATACATTCTTCTAAATTTTTTTCAAAGTTTTCAACTTCTTTGCCTTTGGTTTGAATGTCCTCCCGTAGCTCAGAGTAATTTGATCGTCTGAAGCCTTCTTCTCTCAGCTCGTCAAAATCATTCTCCATCCAGCTTTGTTCTGTTGCTGGTGAGGAACTGCGTTCCTTTGGAGGAGGAGAGGCGCTCTGCGTTTTAGAGTTTCCAGTTTTTCTGTTCTGTTTTTTCCCCATCTTTGTGGTTTTATCTACTTTTGGTCTTTGATGATGGTGATGTACAGATGGGTTTTTGGTGTAGATGTCCTTTCTGGTTGTTAGTTTTCCTTCTAACAGACAGGACCCTCAGCTGCAGGTCTGTTGGAATACCCTGCCGTGTGAGGTGTCAGTGTGCCCCTGCTGGGGGGTGCCTCCCAGTTAGGCTGCTCGGGGGTCAGGGGTCAGGGACCCACTTGAGGAGGCAGTCTGCCCGTTCTCAGATCTCCAGCTGCGTGCTGGGAGAACCACTGCTCTCTTCAAAGCTGTCAGACAGGGACACTTAAGTCTGCAGAGGTTACTGCTGTCTTTTTGTTTGTCTGTGCCCTGCCCCCAGAGGTGGAGCCTACAGAGGCAGGCAGGCCTCCTTGAGCTGTGGTGGGCTCCACCCAGTTCGAGCTTCCCGGCTGCTTTGTTTACCTAAGCAAGCCTGGGCAATGGCGGGCACCCCTCCCCCAGCCTCGTTGCCGCCTTGCAGTTTGATCTCAGACTGCTGTGCTAGCAATCAGCGAGATTCCGTGGGCGTAGGACCCTCTGAGCCAGGTGTGGGATATAGTCTCGTGGTGCGCCGTTTCTTAAGCCGGTCTGAAAAGCGCAATATTCGGGTGGGAGTGACCCGATTTTCCAGGTGCGTCCGTCACCCCTTTCTTTGACTCGGAAAGGGAACTCCCTGACCCCTTGCGCTTCCCAGGTGAGGCAATGCCTCGCCCTGCTTCGGCTCGCGCACGGTGCGCACACACACTGGCCTGCGCCCACTGTCTGGCACTCCCTAGTGAGATGAACCCGGTACCTCAGATGGAAATGCAGAAATCACCCGTCTTCTGCGTCGCTCACGCTGGGAGCTGTAGACCGGAGCTGTTCCTATTCGGCCATCTTGGCTCCTCCTCCACAATTTTTTTTTTTTAAACAAACCTCTGTCATGTCTGGCATAATAGAAGAAGTTGGATTTTCATTCACGCTTTGCATTCAGTCTGTTGCAAAATGTTGTTTTGGTTGAAACGTATAAGGAAAATCTGGCTTCACATAAATATGTAGTTGCAAAAGGAGAAGTATTTAAATAGTCTTTTGGATAATTATAAATATTCTTTGAGTCTTCATAAATTTAAATAAATGATAATTTTTAAAAGTTAATTGCAACATAGATTCTGAAACAATATAAAAAAACTTTTGGTACTCTGTTACTTTAAAATTCATTGATGTATTTTATATTTTGAATGTACCTTTTATCTGTAAATGATTTTTATTTACTTATTTTAAATTGTGGTAAAATAGACATAACAAAATTTACCACTTTGCAGGGCACAGTGGATCACACCTGTAATCACTTTGGGAGGCCGAGGTAGGTGGATCACTTGAGCTCAGGAGTTCGAGACTAGCCTGGCCAACATGGTGAAACCCCATCTCTACTAAAAAATACAATAATTAGGCGGGCCTGGTGGTGCATGCCTGTAGTCCTAGCTACTTGGGAGGCTGAGGCAAGAGAATCGCTTGAACCCGGGAGGTGGAGGTTGCAGTGAGCTGAGATCACACCACTGCACTCCAGCCTGGGCAACAGAGCGAGGCTCCGTCTCAAAAAAAAAAAAAAAAAAAATTACCATTTTAACCATTGTAAGTGCACAGTTCAGCAGAGTTAAGTATTCTTATTGTTGTGTAACCATCATCACCATCCATCTTCAGAACTCTTCATCTTGTGAAAACTCTGTATTCATTAAACAATAACTCCCATTTCCCCTCCCCAGATCCCCGACAACCCCATTCTACTTTCTGTCTCTGAATTTGACTGCTAGTCGAATTCCACCTCAAATAAGTGAAATCCTACAGTATTTGTCCTTTCATGACTGGCTTATTTCACTTAGCATAGTGTCCACAAGGTGCATCCATGTTGTAGCATGTGTCAGAATTTCCTTCCTTTTTAAGTCTGAATACTATTCCATTGTGTGTTTATGTGTGTGTGTGTGTGTGTGTGTGTGTGTATACATATATTCCACGTTTTCTTTATCCATTTATCTGTTGTTGGACACGTGAGTTGTTTCCACCTTTTGCTATTGTGAACAATGCTGCTATGAACATGGGTGCATACAAACCTGTTTCAGTCCCTCCTTTTGATTTCTTTTAGTATATTTCTAAGGGTGAAATTATTGGGTCATGTGATAATTCTATTTTTAGTACTTTGAGGAACTACCATATTGAATTCTATGATAGCTGCACCATTTTAGAATCCCATCAACAGTGGGCAAGATTTCTAATTTCTCCACATCCTTGCCAATATTTGTTATTTTCTGTTTTTTTTTTAAATAGTAATCATCCTAATTGGTATAAAGTCTCATTGTGGTTTTGATTTGTATTTCTCTAATAATTAATGATATTGGACACCTTTTCATATATTTTTTGGCTCTTTGTAAATCTTCTTTGGAGAAATGTCTATTTGCATCCTTTGTCCATTTTTAAAATCAGGTTATTTCTGTTGTTGTAGTGAGTTGTAGGGATTCTTTATATATTCTGCCTATTAATCCTTTACGAGGTGTCTGATTTGCAAATATTTTCTCTCATTCCAGGGGTTGCCTTTTCACTCTGTTGATTGTGTCCTTTGATGCACAGAAATGTTTAATTTTGATGTAGTCCAATTTGTCTAATTTTATTTTTGTTGCCTGTACTTTGGGTGTCATATTCAGGAAATCCTTGCCAAGTCCAATGCCATGGTGTTTTCCTCCTAAGTTTTCTTCTAAGAGTTCTGTAGGAGGGTGGCACAGCCTCCCTCCTGACTGTGATCAAGGTGTCAGCTGGGCTTTGTTCTCATTTGGAGGCTCAGCTGAGGAAGAGTCCACTTCCAAGCTCCCTTAGGTTGTTGGCAGAATTCACTTATTTCTGGTGACTTGCTTCTTCAAAGTCAACAAGGAGAACAAGACTCCAGAGAGAGGCTGCTGGCAAGACATAGTTTTTTATAACATAACGTTGTAATAAGAGTGACCTTCCAACACCTTTGCCATATTCTATTGGTTAGAAGCAAGTCACGGATTTCATTCACGCTCAAGGGGGATGAACTAGAACCTGAATACTAGGAGGTGGGGGTCGTGGAGGTCACTTTAAAGTCTATTCATCCCATCTGATGCATGTTTTAAAAAGACCTCTCACTGTAATGTGTGGAGGTTAGACTGTAGGGTGGTGGAGAGACCAGGCTTAGTGACAAGAGGCTGTTGTATTTGGAAATTAGGAAATCATTAGGAACTGCTTTTTCAACAAATATTCATAAAATCTACTATATGAGAGTCACTGGGTTAGGTGTTAAGGATGCAGTGTGGAAGTAAGATTTCTCATTTTTTAACTTTAAAAAATTTTGATTGACACAGAATAATTATATATATTGATGGAATACATGCGATATTTTGATACATGTACACAATGTGTAATGATCAAATCAGGGTAATTGGGATACCTATCACCTCAAATATTTATTGTATCTTTGTATTGAGGATATTCAATATCCTCCATTCTAGCTATTTTGAAATATACAATAAATTACTGTTAACTATAGTCATCCTACTATGCTATACTATGCTACTATCCTGTAACTTATTCCTCTTATCTAACTGTAATTTTGTTCCCATTAACCAACCTCTCCATAACCCTCCTACCCGCTTCCCTTCCCAGCCTCCGGTAACCACTATTCTACTCTCTACTTCTATGATATCAACTTTTAAACACCCAGTGGAATATTATTCAGTCATAAAAAGAAGGAAACCCTGTCATTTGCAGCCACATGGATGAGCCTGGAGGACGTTATGCTAAGTTAAATTAGTCAGGCACAGAAAAAGAAACACTTTGTGATGTCACTCATATGTGGGAGCTAAAAATAAAAAAGAGTTCTCATTTTTGAGAAAGCATTTTCTTGAAAAGACAGGGGCAAAAGTTATTTTAAACTGGTTGAGGAGGAAACAGGAGGTGTGACTGTAGTGGTGGCCATTTAGAATATTTTCATAGACTTTGGAGAAGAATAGAGAGAGAGAGATGGGACAAGTAGTTTGAGGGGGCACAGAGTTGACAGTGTTGATGTATTTTCTTTTTGTATTTCTTTTCCTCTGGCTGAAAGGTAGGGATAGTAGAAAGAAAGAGGCAGAAGATACAACAGAGGGCACATTCCAGTGGAGAACTGGGGGGATGGAATGAAGGGCATGGGAAGAATTATCTTGAAAGGAAGTGAAGACATCTTTTTGAAACCACAACCATGAAAACATTAGTAAGGTTAGTCCAAAAGTAGAGGGGAATTGAGGGAGTATGTGCCAGATAGCATCTGTTTTCTCTGTCAACTCAGAAGGGAATGGTATTTATTAAGAGGTGTAAGGGCGTTGTCACTTTGAGGAGAGTAGGCAAAGTTGGGTGTAGCCTTCACTGGAGAAGGGAAGGGAAGGGGGACTGACCTCCAATGACCAAGTAAGCTATCGTGCAGGACTGTGGTTCCAGTCCAGACTCAAAAACATTAATTTGCAATGGAGCCAATCCACATGGGTGCATCATTTACTTTGGTAGTATTTGGGAAATCGAGGAAGAGGAATGGAGAAAAGAGAGAATCAGGGTGATCTGGGGCTGAAGTCAGCATGGGCCAGGGCAGCAGAAGATTCCTGTGGCAAGAGGTAAAGAAAGCTACTGAGACTGTCAGAATGCAGCAGCCTCCACAGAGTGGGGAGGGACAGGAGCTGTGCTCAGGTTGGGTGGGGGTGACAGTGGGGGCAGCAGAGAGAGAAAAGTTGCATTTCCAGAGGGGAGTTTTATATTTTAGCATCTTTAGGCTCATTCTAAATTTTAGTGCAGTCTAATTCAATCAGGAGAATTGAGTCAGTAAAAAGTTAACGTTAATAAAAATTTCCTAAAAGCAATAGGCTTGCGCTACACATTACACCAGATGTCTTCATTCTATGAAGCCTTGGGGAATGGCCCTTTCCCCTCAGAGGCCACTACAAGGAGACGGGGTTTCCAAGGACCCTCCTTCCACCTCTGTCTGCTTACACATGGATTTATCTGTCTGATCGATTAGGAACCTGTAGACTGACATTTAAAGAAAGGGTACAGAATCTAAAAAGACATTAAGAGACTTCGCATGTGATTCTCAGGGATACTCCACATGGATATGCACGACCTGAGAGCTTGTTAAATGTGCAGATGCCCCACCCTCACTCCCAGGCCATCTGCTTCCTGGATTCTGGGAGACCTGATCTGCATTTCCACAAGCACAAACACGACTTCAGAAAAAGTTGGTTTAGTGGGTCCAAGAAAGTTGACACCTATGGCATGCAGAAATTGTTCTAGATGTTTGGAGAAAACAGGGAACAAAATAAAGACCCTGCCCCACGGAGTTCATATTCCAGTGAAGGAAGGCAGATAATACATTGATTATACGATCAATGAGAAGGTGGTGAGGGCAGTGACGGGAGAAAAATAGACCAGAGGGCAGGCAATGGAGGGTCATAGTAGGGACAGGCTGCAATACTAAGGAGAAAGGTCAGGTGAGGTCAAAGAGGGAATGATGGGAGCTGAGTAGGTTGGGATGGGTGACTTCTGCTTTTGCTCAGAGGGCCACAGAAAGCCATCTGAGAGTGCTCAGCAGAAGACTGAATAACCTGCAGAACATTTTCTGAGGATAATGTTGGCTCTTGCCTTGAGAGTAGATCTGGAGGTGGGGTAGGAGTGGGGGAATCTATTAGAAGGTAATTGCAGGAATCTAGGCAAGAGATGACAGTGGGTTGGACCTGGTAGCAGCAGGGCAGGTGGTGAGAAGAGTTTGGTCCTGGGGATATCTTGAAGGTAGAGTCAGAATTCCCCATAGGTTAGGATGAGGCATAGAAGAGAAAGAAAGAGGTATAAACAACTCTAGAGATGGGTCAGCATCAACTGAAACGGGAAAGGCTGCTGGTTGGGGAGGGAAGATTGAGAGTTTGATTTTGGACACATTGAAGTTGACATGCTTATCAGACATCTGTGGGGTCTGTGGAGTGGATCGCTGAAGTTTGGGAGAGAGGTGTGGACTAGGGAGGGTCATTGGCATATAGATACTGTTTACAGCTGTGAGACTGGATGAGATCCCAAGGGGAAGGAGTGTCTATAGAGAGAGGGTGGAGGCCAAGACATGGCTCTGGGAAACTCCAACACCTGAGGTCAGGGAGTAGAGGGGAGCCAGCAGTGAAGATGGGAAGGAAAAGACCAGTGAAGTGGGGGGGAAAGTGGAGTGAGGTGTCCTGAAAGTCAAATGAAGAAAGAGAATCAAGGAGAAAGGAGTGATTGGCCATGTCTGGAGCTACTGATGAGTCAAGTAAGATGAGGACTGAGAACTGGCTGTGAAACTTTATAGTGAGAGAAAGCGTAGTATGATTGTATGCTGATAATCTGGTTGAATGGGAAAACATAGTGATGTAGGAGACAGGGAGCAATGCCTTTGAGTAGACCTGAGGATATGGGCTGGACAGTGCAAATAGAGAGCTTTGCTTTAGCAGGAGATTGTACAATTTATCTGCAATAAAGGAAGGAAGGCAGAATGCATGGGTACAGATGCTGGGAAATGGGTGGGTGAGGTGTGGGAGTGTAAGCATTCTCTTCTGGGTGCTGTGATGTTCTCAGGGAAGTAGAGTCGAGTTTCTTGAGAGTTAAGACATGATTGAGATTGTATTTTTGTTAAGGAAGCGTGACCAAGCCAGAAGAAGCAAGGAAGCTGAGGATATGTGCAAAGAAGTGATTATACCGATTTACCATGGAATGTAAACTAAGCTTCAAGGGCATCACATGGGTGTGGGCCACAGACGGCCTGGATCGCTGGGTTGGAGGTACCAATGAGTCAGCAGTATTATTGCTCTGGGAGATCAGACAGGCTGAACAAGGAAGAGAAAGTGGGGACCAGAAATAAATGTTTTTGGTGCTATTCGAAACTGTATTTTCCTTAATAGAAGATTAATTCTTCAGGAATCAGACCTTCAGTGTATGTGAATTAAGATGATAAAAGGAAAGGAAGGGACTGTTGGATCAAATAAAAAATTATTTATTCATCATTTACTTTATGCCCTGTTGTGTGCTTGCCTTTGGGGAAACTTTTAATTTAGTTAAATCTACATTTTCTAAGAATTTCTAGTGAAGTGCTAAACCAGAGTGTATTGACCATTAGAACTCCCAGTGTATAGAGAAGGTGCTGTGTTCCCACCATTCTTCAATGGGTGAGTGTTTCTTGGGGATGTGGTTGGTTCTCAAACTTCTGCAGCCACTTCCCTTTCTTGCCTTCCATCTCGTGTGCTTACATTGTACATACATATTCAAAACTCCAAAACATAGGAGTTCTAACCCTGACACTTCTGAGTACATTTACCAAGACAATGAAATAACCTACTTAAAATTCAGTAGCATTCTGGGTATCTCAGGACACTTGGCCAATGTTCAGACAGTGATGTGATGACGTTCATTCCCGTTCTGTTCCTCACTGGCTCTCAGTGTAAATGGTGCCCCCTGGCATGGTTCTGTGCCTCTTTGGAGATTCCCACTGGGATTTCTGAACTGTCCAGGTGCAGGCATCACAGGAGCCAGTGTCCCCAACACCAGTGAGTACACTACTCACTCCTTGTTTGCCCCCGTGTCACCAGTTCACACATCCTTGAACTACAGGTGAAAACTCTTGTCATCGTTTCCCATAAAGTTTTTTTTCAGGCTTTCTACAGAAACTCTCATATATTATTAATGGGAGACCATGAAGCAAATGAGTGTGTCATTGTATTTAAGCTGACACTTGAATGAGAGGAGTTGGATGCTCAGGGAGACACATTAGTTTGCTCCCTCTGGGGCAGACCCTGCCTGAGAAAGCAAAGGATATTCGCTTGTGTTCATTTCCACCCCCACACATGTCCTCTGTTTCTTATCTGCGCCTGCCAGCCACAGAGGATTGATGGCCTTCAATTCACCCTCACCAGCACCTGTGATTAAATTATTTCTCTCCTCATTTTGCATGGATACTTTAAGCAGGGCAGGCAGATAGTCATTTCCCTCCCTCTTGGAAAGTGTTCCAAGGGGACGGAGGCCACTCAGAAAAACACCAGTAAATCCTATTGGCTTCAAATTTGGATTTGCATCCTGCCTTGGGGTGATGGGTTGGGCAGAGGCCTGGGAGAAGGAGGAAAGTGGAATGAAGAAAAAGGCTTGCATCCAAACCGGAAGTTGCAGTGTCTTGCAGTTCCTTTTATCCTTTCTTTCAGGTAAGATTTCACTTCTTTTTATGCAAACTCAGGCCAAGCCTGTGGTCAAATTCTGCCCCTCAAAGTGGGGGTGAGGATAGGGGGACATAGTGACAGTCTGAAACTCTGGCATTTCCTGATGTCATTCTTCATACTACGAAGGCTGGTTTCTCCTGCTTCCTTGGCTTTCCCGGAGTGCTTACTTCTTCTAACCAGTGAAAACTGAATCTCACAAGTAAGCCCCCAAATTTGGTATCTTGATTGGTGAGGTTCATTCCTGGGGTACTTATTGAGGCACCTGCTGAGGCCCCATTCCTGCCCAAGCATATTTTTTTGTGCAAAATAATAGTTACATTGACCCGGCCCTCCTTCCAACCTAGAGTAGAGTACATGTCTCATCTCTCCCCTTGGTGAAACTGCAGATCCTATTTCTGAGTCTTCTTTGAAGACAAATTCTTCATATGCTATCTTATTCATTACAAAAGCTGTTCACCTTATCTACTGAATATATATATATATATATACATATATGAGCCTGTATTATGACTTCTTTAAGTAGAGGGGCTGATGTTGTCTGCTAATTGATCTTTTGGCCTACTCATGAGCTTTTGGAAACTGAATCAAAAATATTTGTTGATGATACCACAAAGACCCTATGAAACGGCTTTAACTGTAACTTCCTGTAAGAGATTTGCTGAAAACTTGCTTATGACTTCAGGGTGATTTTTACTTATTAGGTGTCTACTCTATTGGCCCCATGTATAGGATGAGGAGAGAGTACTGAAACGATCAGATGCCAGTCAGGCTCCGGAGCATGTCCCTCCCAGCATGAGTTCTATGTCCACTAAAGAGATGGACCAGAGTGCCCATAGCAGCCTTGTTCTTAACAGCACAATCTGGAAACAACTCACGTGTCTGCGTACAGAACCGTGGACACGTAAATTATGGTAGATTCATTCAACACAGAGCAGTGGAAGGGAGCAGATTACTGTTACCTGCAATACGATGACAAAAGGTCAAGTGACAGCAGACAGCTCCAAAGAGTACAGACTCCATGGCTCCGTTTCTATGAAGTTCAAAACTGGGCAAAACTAATTCCTGGCGATGGAGGTCAGAATAGTGTCAACTGGGAGGGGTCATGGGGCAGGGGTCTCGGGTTCTAGAAACTTGTATGTCTTCATCTAGCTGGGATCACCCAGGTGGATGCGTGTCTAAAAATCAGTTGAGTTGCTTACTTAAGATGTGTGCGTTTTGTCAGATGTAAGTGATACCAAAGTTCAATGCTTAAAAGAGAAAGATGAGTCACAGAGTCCCTGGCTTGGAGGAGCTCATGGTCTGGTAAGAAAGAAAAATGCAAAGGGAATCATTTCCCTGGAATGTACTAAGCGTGGTCATGGAGGCATGCACAACGAGGAGACACAGAGACAAGTATGGGGCTCAGGGAAGGAGGAGGAGAGAGAGAGAAACACACAGAACTCTTGGAGAGAGGCAGGACGCTTCAGGAAAGGGACAGCTCAGTGTGTCTGGTGTGGTCCATGCCACTGTCACACCAATGAAGCTGCTCTGCAGAAGGCCACTAAATCCCAGGGATCCTTCCCAGCTTTTCTTCTCTTTGATCTCCATGGCATTTGGTTTTTTCAATGGCTTTTATTTTTGGAAACACTCTCTTGCTTAGCCTCAGTGACATTTCCCATTGGTTTTTTTTTTCTTCTCATTCTTGACCATTTCTTTTTGTTTTCCTTCCTGGTTCCCACTCCCAGTCCTGCCCTTTAAAGGCTGCTGTCCCACAAGGGCTGGCTGTGTCGTCTTCCTCTCTCATCTTGTCTCTGGGCAGCCTCATCCATCTGTGTCCATGGTTTTAACTAACCCTACCTCTCCTTCTACCTTCCCCCAACCCCACTGCCCAAATGTTGTTGACTACAAATTTGGTATCTCCGACCCATATGTCTGTCCACCATTACTTTAAGAATTGCGTTTTACATCCTGAGTGGACATGACTACTCAGATGTCCTGCAGATAGCCCAAAATTTCATATTTCTAAAAGTGGGCTTTTCATCTCCCCTGCTCCCCAAATGTTCCTCTTCTTGTTCTCCCTCATCCTGCAAACTGTCTTGAGAGCTGTCTTTTGTCCCAGGCTCAGCTGGGTGGTCTGCCTCTGCTCTTCGGCCCTACCTTCTGTGCACCCCATCATGGCACAATTCATGCTCAATTCAAAGCAGGGAGCAAAATGGAGGCAGCCACTGTTGTGTGTCTCCACTGCTAAATGAGGCTCTCCCGAGTGCAAGGCTGCAGGGGGGCTTTGGGAGAACTCTTGGTGGAATGCGATTAGGCTTACATTCTTTACTGGCAATTGCCTCAGAGTTTTCCTGTTTTTTCCCATAGCCCTATGTGGACACTGGAATTATGAACCTGGTATTTGATGCAGTGACAGAAATGTAACTGTTGACTTAGGCAGAATGGGAACCTACTGAACAGTGTTGGATTCAATCTGGGGCACAATTGAATCCCAGGCCTTCCAGGATGCGGTCATTCGGATTTGGTCTCTCCCTTTCCCGCTGCCCTCTGTATCTCAGCTTTCCTACCTGGTGGCTTTGCTCTCAGGGGGAAACTGAAAGCTCAGGACTTACTTGACCTTTATGGCTGGCAGTTCCAGCAGAAAGAGGAAGCTTCTCTTCATGACAGCGTCTCTGCACCCAGCTGGGATCATGATCGCCCCGCTGAGCCAATCACCAAGGCAAGGCAGGTGGAATGCCCCTGCACCCCGCCAGGAGCTTGGTGTCCAGCCAACCCTCCAAAAGCCTGAGTCTAGGGTACAGTCAGGCCCACAGGAAACCTGAGGGGCTGTTAGCAGAAGAGGGAACTTATGCTGGCCAAGCAAAACAGCACTTGTGCATCAGAGGCCCTCTTTGAGGAGGCGTGGGAGACACGGCTGTCTGGGCAGGGTTCGAAGCTGGCGACACCATGCTCCAGGCCCAGCCTGGGCCCCTCGCTTGTGGCTTAGCCTTAGGCTCACTCCACCTGTCAGCCCCACACTTCCTACTCAACGGGTCATTGTCAGGTGAACAGGACTCAATGAAAAGGAGCCTTTTAACCTGTATTTTCAATTTGCCCTCTGTCTTTACCTGCCATGGCCTGTGCTGTGTCATGGGAATGAGGAAGGACGGTGCAGCAGCCAGTGCTGGCTGGTCTGTGTGAATCACCTGCAAGTCATGCAGAACGATGTCATGGTGGGGTCAGGCTTCCAGCATCCGCAGCTCACACACCTTTCTATTCCACACAGGACCTGGCACTGGGCTCGGGGCCGCCCCTGCCCCTGGTCCTTCAGTGTTGCTCAAACTAGAAACAGAAGCCATGCTGGAAGACAGAGCTGCTGACCTAAGCCCAAAGCCCAGGTAAGGTGCAGACAACAGGCAGGCACTGGAGTGGCAAGGACCATCACGTGGTTCCTGGGTCCATGCGTGTTCTGCCCGGGCGACAGCTGGCACTCTGAAACACCACTCACAGCTCCAGTCCTGGCCCTGCCGCCACGTTAGCTTGTGCTCTCATGCAGTCACTGACCCTCCCCAGACCTCCGTGTTTTTATCAGGAGAATGAGAAGCTGGATGTCATCGCTCCTTTGCAATGATTCTGAGGTACTGCATTTAGGGAGAAAACCCCACCACACACATGCTCAATACAAACCCTATTTCTGGGGGTAGATTTGATTTAAAACGTCACCATAAACCGTTTAAAGCATCCAGTAATTTACTAATAATGCGTTTCCTGATGAGGGGAGGGAAGGCCGCGGTTTCAATCTCTCCTACTGATTCAGTGTGTGCTGTTCCCTAAAATAAAAATCAGCTTCATCGAAAGCTGCTGAAAGTTTTATGTCGCCTTAGCGCACACCACACCTAAACTCAGCAGGACACTGTTTCCTTGTTAGAGGATACATAGCAGAGAGTTCCAAATAATAGCTCAGCTGTCCAATGTCTACTTAATGGATTAGCAAAGGTAACAAATGATATCTTATTCCTGGCTCCTTCTGCTGAAATGCGATACTTCCAAAGGCTGGAAACCGTTCCCACTTGGTGACCTTCCTCCTTTCAAAGAATGAACATATTTGCTTCTCTCAACCTAGGCCTTTTCCCCTCACCACAGAATAACCCAAAACATCTGGAGATACTGTGGGGTCTCTCTCAAGAAGATTACACGTTCTTTTCAGCTTTTACTTTTCTGGGAGATGAATCTTGACAACTGGAAATTAGCAGCTGGAGTTATGGCAACAAGGAGGGCCCACCTCACGGTCCCGGGGGACGTCTCCGTCCTTCTCTTCAACATCGTCTCTGCCGTTCCCTGCTTACTCTCCCTCCTTCCTTCTTCTTTATTTCTTTCCTCAAGATACTTCACTGACCCTTGAGACTCTAAGACACAGAGAAGCTTCCTCCTCCTCCTTCCCGTTTCTAGCAGGGAAAGAGGCCCCTGGAATAGGAATTGGGCATTCCTGGCTCCCAACACGTTTCCTCTGGGCCTGGCCTGAGGCCAGGGCTGCTGCTTAACGGGGCAGGTTCTACCTCATCTCAAAATACCCCTGAAGGCCATCTAGCTCTGGCCTCTGTGTAGGTGTCAGTAACAGCTGGAGAGCTTGAAGGCAGGTGGAACATGTTCCTCTGTCCCTTCTGTCATTAGGGGTTTTACAGAGCTGGTCCGCGCCATCGCTAATCACTCATTCATTCCTTTCACAGTAATCTTCAAGCAAGGGACCTGTTTGAGTGTCTGCTCCATGACAGGCGGGGGACTCTTTGCCCATGGAAGCTCTAGGGCCATTTTCCAGCTGAGGTTTTAAAAAAAAAGGGAAGATGTGGGTCAGAGGACACCCACAGAGGACAGGTGCGTTCCTTCTCAGGCTGCCGCAAACGTCCTGATGTCTCTCCTCTTCAGTTCCCAGTTGAGAGCTGTCAGCTAGGTTCTTCGAGGCCAACTTTTGCTAATGTTTGGTTAGAGAAAAAAAGAGGAATAAACCCCCCTCTGAGTGCCGATAATTACAAGGATGCCCATTGGTATGTCAAGCTGGGGCTCAGAACAGAAAAGTCAACGCATCATAGGATGTTGTAAGGATGGATGATTTCAGGAAAAGACATATTTTCCCTTGGGATGTGAACAAGTGTGCGTGTGTGGCGGGGAATTGGTAGAAAATCGGGTGATGGGGACTTAAGGAGAGTGTGGGAAGACACTAATGGTTGAAGTGCAGGAGGGTCTAAAGAGCCAGCCTTGTCTGCCTTGGCTGATTTTGGTACAGGTGGAATGTGAAATATGAACTATTTACACATCTCCTATTTCCATGGACTAAGAAAAACAGAGAAAGCTGGGCACAGAGCTATAACTGAGCTCCCTTCTTCTGAACTCCAAACCACTTCTTTAAAATGGACCGTTAGATCTTGGAGGAAGCCGTTTTCCACTAGGCCTAGTGGTGCTGGAGCAGAGCGTGTGCCACCAGCTGAGAAAACAAACCCGAGAAGGAGAAAGTATACTCAGGTTAACAGGCCCCGGGCAAAAAGTCTCCATTCCCTGCCTCCCCGCCCGGCTTGCCCTCCCCTGGGGCTGGAACCGTGGGCTTTGGCAGGAGAGGTCTCAGGTAGGGGCTGAGGATTGGCTGGCCCAGCCGCATAGAACATAAAGAGATTTACAGTCTATTACTTCTGACTTTTATTAAATGAAAACCAGAGGTATAAAAATAAGGCAGCAAATAACACCATAACAGGAAATAAAAGGGGCGAAAAGGGGGCAAGTCCGCACCTTGAGGATGGCGTGCCCATTGCGATGCGGGTGTTCACAGCCACGACTCTCACCAGCCACGCTACACGGAGAGGAAGTCACCGCGGACGAAGGCGGTGGGGCAGGACTGTCTGCATCAGGGGCTCGCGGGTCTAGAGCTCACTGAGAAAGGTTTAAGCTTTGGTGAAATCTTAACTATGCCTTTTCAAGATTTTTCCTCTTTTGCTTGGAAATCTTTGTTTTATTCTAAGTGACATCTCACATATTTGTTTCCAGTTTGTTTTATACCTCCCTGAAACTAGTTAAGTTAAAAGCCACCTGATGCTGGAAAACCCTTTATGGACTGTGTATGTGGATGTGCCTGTGTATGTGTGTGAAAGAGAAAATAGTCATACTTTTTAAGTAGCCAGCAATTGGAGCTAAGGATGACATTCTGAACCTTCGTCCGTAGTTTCCGAGTGGGGTTTGTTCTTTGGAGGCAATTCATGAACCTCCTAGGCACACAGCTCTCATTTGATTGGCAATTCCCAGCACTAAAGAGCAAATCCTGCTTTGGGAACCTCACGTATTTCTTTTCCTTTTTCCAGACCCGTACCTGGGCTCTGATTCATCAGCTAAATTCAGGTGGAAGATATCAGATGCTTATAAAAATATTCTAAAGTCATGCCTAAACTTTAAGGGGGAAAGGTCTAGATGTTTCATTAAACATTTATCACTTTTTTGGAGGCAAAGAAACTTTATTTTCCTCTCTTGGGGAATTACCCAGAAGCCATAAAATGCTGTTTTATAACTGAATATCCCAGTTTACATCTCATGGAACGAAGCAAAATAAATACAAACTTTAAAAATATGGTCACAGCCCATATATTTTAAAAAACATTGTCACCACGGACCAACACAGCTCAAATGTTTCTTTCATGTTTAACCCTATGGGGTGGGTAGATTTCCCCCCAATATCAGTCATGTTTCCCTATGAACTGTCTGATTTCTGCTGTAGTATTAATAAAAAGGAGTGGTAATGGAATCTTATGTCTTATTTACAAAGTAAAATGTTACCAAAATCTGAGAATAATTCCTAGGGATGAATTTCTTTTCTCCTTTCCCCACTGGGCCCTTCAAATTTTTCTTCAGTAGCTTTACTTTTGCTTTTCTTTAAGTTTTACTTTCCCTTGGAGTTTATATGAAGGAAATGGAATGAGGTCTGGGATTTGCTTCAGAACCGCCCAGTGGGGCGAGCTAGTAGGGGATGCAGGTAAGGGTCTAGGTGAGACCGGCTTGGGTGTGAGCTAACTGTTATTGAAGCTACGTGTTGGGCACAGGGAGGTTTATTAGATTACTCTGTTTTGCCATATGTTTGAAAATTTCCATTAAAATGTCTTCCTCAATTCTCTCCAGATTCACTTTTCTCTTTTACTGGACTCTGGTTTGTTGATCCATAATTCTCTCCTGCAGACTCCACGTTTTTTTTCTGGAAAGAGCACCATTTTGCCCAGTTCATGACCTCTGGCAGTGGGATTCCTGGAGCTCTTTGTGAAGCTATCTCAACACTAGAAGACAATGCTTGCCACGCAGTGTGGCTGGGCGCTGCCATCCAGCTTCTGTCAGGGTGCGTGTAAGACATAGGTCCACCAGGGCACAGGCTAGCATGAATGAGGTGGGCCCTGTAGCACCAAAAGCTTCCTCCTTTCGGCTCCATTTTTGCCTCCTCTTCCCTCCCTTCCCCTTCTCTTTGTCTCCCTTCAATATTTCTTCATCTTATTCCTTCTCTTTCCTTCTTTTCTCTCAGTACCAAAGTCACCTCTCTTTCCTATCTCTGGTGTGGGAAAGCTGTTCTATAACAATTTCTCCAATTCAAATTCCTCTGGAGTAGCGGGCCAGAGCTCTTAGCCACTGTAGGGTATCCATCCGCTTTGCTTTACGTAACACAGAACACATCCAAACAGGTGTCTAGACTTAGCCCTTGTTTGACGTGGGCAAAGAAATGCCAAGAGAAATAGCTTGAACTCTGTCTATAGTTGAGGATTACTTATATTCAGGCAAAGCAAATGGGATGTGTCGGGGGAGGATATTACCAGCTGAAGTGAGAAGGCAGAGATGGACCTGAACTTCTGAAAGTCTTTCTGCTCTGCCAGGCTC
The DNA here is from genome assembly GCF_000001405.40 of Homo sapiens. NCBI lineage: Eukaryota > Metazoa > Chordata > Mammalia > Primates > Hominidae > Homo > Homo sapiens. The sequence goes on from NC_000006.12 coordinate 2,439,001, forward strand.
CCCAGAACTTAATAAAACCTGCCTCTGTTATCACTACATGAAGCTAAAGTGGATAACCAATAAAATAGACAAGAGTGTCAGAATTCTACATTGCTTCAATAGGCAAGAATGACAAACTAGAGCCGATAAGGTAAAATGAAATATTAATAATACTAAATTCCTGCATCCAAGTGAAAATGACCAATTGCAGTAATGTGACAAAGACCTAACATTATTCATATGCAAAAGACCTGGGGCTTCCAAAAGTTTAGCCTGAGCCAATAATGAAATGCAATTACTGAAAATGCAAATGTACTTTCAACTGAGTTAGTAGATTTGCAGTATACAGATCAGAGGAGGTAAGAGTTTCATATTATGGGCACCACACTTTAAGAAAAATAATGTATTTGGGAAATCCAGAGGCAAGTGAGTGAGATGAAGAGGAGTCTGGAAACGATAAACTATAAGGGATCATTGAAGAAACCAGGGCTACCTCTCCTGAAAAGAAATAAAGAATAGACAGTGCCTTCTCTTGGAGGGCAGAAAGAACGCAGGCTGACAGAAGCTGCAGGGAGCTCCTGATGGCACAGAGCAAGCTCTCCTCCTCTCCTCCCCATCTCTCCAGTGGTATGTAGCTGCAGGGCCAGGACGAAGGCACGGAGAAGCTACTGGAGGACTCAGAAGAGCAAGTTGTGGAAGGTTGACTGGAGAAGGAGGCCACAACTCCAAGTACTGCTGAGCTGGCAGTGAGTCTACCAGGTTTTTCCTCCAGTTCTCTTCACCGCTGGGTCCAGGATGTGGGTGCAGCTGCAGAGGGGCTCAGCACAGGGGGTAACTAAAGTTCCAGCTTTCCAGGTGGAGGATCAAAAAGGGGAGGGCCGGGGAACTAGCAAGGACTCACAAGAGCACAGAGGGCAAGGAGTTTGGGAAAGCAACCCTTCAAGGTGGTTATGAAATCCTGGCTCCCCGTGAGCTGCACACGAATGAATGTGATTCTAATCAGCACACAAAGGACTTTGAGAACTGAAGTAACAGACAGACCACCGTCTAGGGTCCAGGCAGTCACTGAGTAGCACATTTGTGGACATAGGTAAACAACACTGCAAAGGCCCTGAAAATTGAACTGACCTTGAAACCACAGACCAAAGATGGCGGGTTGGAACTTAAGCCTGAACCTACCTGGATTTTATTGTCTGCTAAGACAAAAATACCAACATTTCCCATAGGATTTAAACAAGACCCCATTCATAACATAATAGTCAAACTGTCTAGGACACAACCCAAAATTACTTGGCATGGGAAGAATTAGACAAATCTCAACTCAGATGGCAAAAAGCAATCAACAGACACTATTAAGATGACACAGACTTTGGAATTAAATGACAAAGATATTAGAGGCACTATTATTAATATTAAAATGTTCTAAAAAGCAATTGTGGACACTCTTAAAATAGATGGAAAGATAACTTTAGTTACCCCACTCTGCCGAACTAAAAAATAAAATAACTGGAATTTAAAAACAAACTCACTGGGTGAGCTTATTTTCCTTTGTTTTTAATGTATTTAACTGTAATTTTATAACTGATTTTTTAACAATTACATTTTTAACACCTGTTTGCCAATTCCTAAAAATTTAAAAACAGCTCTCATGAACTGGTACAAGCTAGTTTTATAACACAACTGACATCCACCATGAATGGTCTATTGTAATGAACAGTAAATATCCCACATTGCAGGACTCCTTAGAGAATTGAATATAGAAATAGACACTGTTAAACACCATGTGAGAGATGAACATGCATTTCTGAACATAGTTAACTTATGGTCCAGGGAAGATACTTTTGGAAATGTTGATGTAAATGAACAATTCAACACTAGGTGCTCTGATTCTTTTGACTACATTTTATTCTCTCTCTTGCTCCATAGCCACCTACACTCTTACTTTCACCCTGACAATCTGTTTTGCTGTCTTTGTCTTCTTTCTACCTCTCCCCTGAAACTCATCTCTTGGACAAAGGAAGCCCTCATTATTATTATTATTTCATAGACAGCAGCCAAGTTTAAAATCTGGACTTATGGGTAGGAATTTTGGAAAGGCTGTAATTTCTTTCTTAGTTGGTGAAAAGGGGCTTTTGCCATTATTCTTTCCCAGACTTCTTATAAGACTTACACCATCAAAATTGTCTCTCACAACATTCATACTCTTTGCAGCTTTTAAATCATAGAGAAGATGGAGACTGTCTGAGGAGCTTGGCCAGGCCAGCCTCTGGGATACCGTTTGACATCAGCTCCCTTTTTGGTGGTCATATGCATGTGATTTGTCCCCACATCCCCATCTGTGCTGACCTTCCTCCCACCACTTACTTACTGGGGCTCTCGGCCCTTGTTAACAAGAGTAGGAGCAGCCAAATAGTTAGGGATGATGTGATTTCCCCCTTCACTCTCAGATGGACGATAGATCACAGACTCGCTATCATCAGCATCCCTGGATCTCGTTTGGGAAACACTCCTTTTTATGACTTTAGACTACGTTTATGTCAATGAAAATCATCCCCAAGCTACAGGAATTTGACTCAATAGCTAATTTCTCTTAATTTGCCCACAGCTGTTTTACCTGTGTTGACAATTTTCCTAAAGAAAAATGTTACCCCTTGTGGAGTTAAAGCCTTTTTCAATTTTGCCAGCATGTCAGAAATAAATGGCGTGCTAGTGCAAAGTTGCTTTTCAGTGAACCATGATCTTGCCAAAGCTGCATGTCCTCCCACTACATCATGGCTGTGAAAGGGAACTTTTAAAGCAGGTGGTGCCTGAGGTTTAAGGCTGGCTGGAGACAAAAACAAATGGAGGAGGCAACTGTTTTGAAAAACTACAACTCCCGTGTGGAAGCCCCATTTGGGAATCAACGTTTTAACCTACAGTGGTTGAAATACTTAATTAGATTCAAAGTAGAAGCTGGCTGCCACAAGACACCATCTCACCATTCCTTTATGAGCCCTTTAAAGTTGTAACTCAAACTTTTGCAAGTCAGTTTTAAGGCAGATTTGTTGACACACTTGTGGATGGCCAAAGTCAGGCTGTTGGTTTGCTTATTCAAAAGAATGGAAATTGTCTCTATGTACACGGTAACAGGGCTGTGATTCATAATCACTGCCTCTCAATGTTATGCTTTATTTCTCTTCCAGAAATAGCAATACACTTTCTTTCTTTAGACATTCTAGGTGTTTTGGAATACATAGATTTGTTTACTTTTTTACTACTTCTAAGATTGCTGGTCTCATTAGTGGAATGAAGAAATTCAAGTTGAGTGTTATCCTTCCTTGCATCTCTAACTCCTGAGGCAGAGCTGGTTGGGCAAATGTCAGGAAGTGAATGAGTGAGTGATGATGGTAATGGGTGAAGTCGTGTTTATGGTCATATACAGGGCTGAGTACCAAAGGTCAACATTTCCTTTCAGTCAGTAATAGGCTCACTGCTGTTAGATAACAACTAATATTTTCAGGGGAAAAAAGTCAGCTTAGAAATGAAGATTTATCTTTCCCCACCCAATCCCAGAAAATGATTTTGTATTTATTTTGATCTAGGCCCATTGTTTTTGGCTGTGATTCAAGAAAAGTAGAACAACCCTCTTTCCAAGTGGGAATTTGGGGGCTGCTATCTTTCTCTATATTTTTAAATCCTCAAAATCAGTAGGGGTAATACTGCCCCCAGATGAATAAAAATTGGTTCTTAAGGGGTGTGTTTTAAAAATCCTTTTTATATATAAGTCACAGATATACATATATGTAGTACATAAACACTATATCTGTGATATTAGAATCATACGGGGGATTGATTAGGGAAGATGTCTAAAAAGGGTTCCTTGGCGGAGGGGTGGTAATGAGTAAAAGATTGAGAAACGCTGTTCTAAATGGTCACTTTTTTTATAACTTGCTATTTGTAACACTAAGCATAGTTTCAAAGTCCCTGATTCCATTTACTCATAAAGAGATCCCGTAGGTTGGACAGGGTAGAAATAACAGGTATATCAACTATTCCAATTATGTATTTGCTAATCTTTTTTTTCTTTTCTTTTCTTTTTTTTCTTTTGAGACAGTCCCAGCCTGGAGTGTGGCAGCACAACCTTGGCTCACTGCAACCTATGCCTCCTGGGTTCAAACGATTCTCCTGCCTCAGCCTCCCAAGTAGCTGGGACTACAGGCAAGTGCCACCACACCTGGCTAATTTTTTGTATTTTTAGTAGAGACGGGGTTTTATCTTGTTGACCAGGTTGGTCTCGAACTCCTGACCTCAAGAGATCTGCCTGCCTCAGCCTCCTGAAGTGTTGGGATTACAGGTGTGAGCTATGGCACCTGGCCTATTTGTCAATCTTAATGGCCAAAACGTAACTATGTTATTTCAAATAGCTTCAGTGTTGCTATTAATTTACAGATTTATATCATGCCTATGTTTACATTGGTATGTTAGCTACGTAAATATACTCCCATTACAATTAATAAAATTGATATAATCTTTTTGAGGAAGAAAGAATTTTTAAGAAAGAATGATCATTCATTTTAGACAATATTTGGCCCAACACAATAATAGATAGTTAATTTGTGATCAGTTAATAATTAAGTTCTCTTTATTATAAAAATGTCATGCTGACATATGTGATTAAAACTTCTTGGATAGAATCTATTGCTGCTGTTATTGCTGAGGTAAGAACTAAGGGAAATCTTCCCTTTCATGTGTAAAGAGTTATATCCCCTTTTAATCTGTGATATCAGCATTTGTCCAAAAGCAGTTCTGTTTTCCAAAGATGATCATCCAGGCTAGGCATTAGAAAAACAGAAAAATCTATTAAAAAGAAAACATAAATCTGAGCTGTGTATTTGAAATAAAGAAGCTAGCACTTTCCAAAGTAAATGAAACAGGGTTTATCTTATTTTTCTCAGAAAAGGAAGGTTTGAAGCTAACCCATTTATGATTTCAAAGTCATGAACGGATTGGTGAAATAGTGATGGATCCAGTGTATATTTTATAGTAGCATGGAATTTAAAAAATAGGAACTCCTACAATATTATTTCATCCAAAGCATAATAAATAGAGAGAGTAGGGTCATTGGAGTCGATGATTTAAACAAATACCGTAGCTCAAGAGGCACCTAACATTGTGTGGAAAAAGTTGAAAAATGGCATTCGTCTGCTGGTGTTTTAAACACACTCCTCCTTCACGATTAACATGAAGATAAACCAAGTGAGGCCAGCTTTGCATTTTTCTTTTGGGTCAAAGGAAGTCACTAAGATATAATTTCATGTCCTACTCTGAAAATTTGGGGCTTAGTGTTATCATGATTTAGGCCATGTTTTTCATGGATTATACTGAGAAAGAAAAGTTGCTACAGTGCTCAGACCATTTAATTCCTTAGGAAAGTAACGTGATAGTTTCTCATGCCTCACATGAAGTCCACGCTGGGGAAAGGTGACCTTCTGAGTGCAAACCCCGTCCTGAGGTGTGGGGTCTTAAGGTGCCCATACTATTCAGTTTGCGAGTAGGGAGAGTAGATGCTAAGTTAGTTGTTAAGTGAATAAATCAGACTGTGAACTTCTCTTGGACAGGAACTGTGATTTTCTTGATGTAAAGGGGCATCAAGAAGGAGGAGGAGCTGGGCACGGTGGCTCATGCCTGTAATCCCAGCACTTTGGGAGGCCGAGGTGGGCGGATCACGAGGTCTGGAGATCGAGACAATCCTGATTAACACGGTGAAACCCCATCTCTACTAAAAATACAAAAAATTAGCTGGGCGTGGTGGCGGGCGCCTGTAGTCCCAGCTACTCGGGAGGCTGAGGCAGGAGAATAGCTTGAACCCGGGAGGTGGAGCTTGCAGTGAGCCGAGATTGCACTACTGCACTCCAGCCTGGGTGACAGAGCAAGACTCTGTCTCAAAAAAAAAAAAAGGAAGGAGGAGGAAAATATGCTGTTAGGTTGGTGGAAAAGTAATTGAGGTTTTTGCCATTTAAAAGTAATGGCAAAAGTTTTAATGGCAAAAACCGCAATTACTTATGATCTATAGACAGGAGATGAGGCGAACAAAGTTCACATCCTTCAAAGTCATCCTAGAGTCATTCCAGAGGGCTGTAGACTTTGGCCCAAACCTTTAAACCTGCCTCAGTTTCTATTTATGTCAGATAAAACTTACTTCTGTGCCATCTTTTTCTTTCAGGAAATGATTGATCCAGAAGGGTTTTGCAAATGACTTAATAGCTTTTAGACTTGTTTCTTTGTCAATAAATGGGGACACCAATAGTTACTTTCATGTTTCTTCATAAAACATGTAGAACGTGCTCAGCATATAGTGGGTGATCATGTAAGTAGGAACTCTCTATTAGGGTTCAACTGAAACCAAAAGTTGCTGTGTGAAGATAGAATTGAGACCACCCATGTCAACATGATTTGTTTGTTCATGGGACACTTTGCCCAGGGGAGATAAGGTTGAAAATCAAAAATTATTTTCACTGTTTGCTTCAGGAAATTTCTTCAGTCAATTTATTGGAGAAAATAGCCTGCTCACCAAGGCAAACAGCTTGCTTATTTAAAAAACAGTGAACTTACCCACACTCACTTCGAGACAGTCATTTTGATGCATCCACCAATCCCAAATGCCCAGTCCCTATCATTCCTTACCTTGGAATACCTGCCTTAAACAACTCGAGCCCAGAGCCCAAAGTCAGAAGGCTCCACTGCTGGCTTTGTTCTTCTGAGACTCTGCTAAGATTCCGTTAAGGTGATGTTGTCTCTTCCTGCAATGAGCTCAAATAAACTTAATTTTGCTTAATTAGCAGTTAATTGACTGGTGACATTTTGGGGGATTCAACAATAATAATTATACACTGGGTTTTGATCTCTTCATTGTATCACGTGTGTTGGTGCTAATGGCAGTGGCAGTAGGCTTTCCTCTGCTCAGTCCTTGGGCTACTCTCTGGTGTTACATTGAGTTTTCTTTCTTTCTTTCTTTCTTTCTTTCTTTCTTTCTTTCTTTCTTTCTTCCTTTCTCTTTCTTTTTTTTTTTTAAGAAAAATCTACAATTTTTTTTAATTAAAAATTGTTTTGCATCTGGCTGGGAATGGTGGCTCACACCTGTAATCCCAGCACTTTGGGAGGCCAAGGTGGGTGGATCACTTAAGCCCAAGAGTTCCAAACCAGCCTGGGCAACATGGCGAAACTCCAACTCTACAAAAAATTTTAAAAATTAGTCAGGTATGGTGGCACACACCTTTAGTCTCAGCTACTTGGGAGGCTAAGGGGAGAGGATTGCTTGAGCCTGGGAGTTTGAAGCTGCAGTGAGCACCACTGTACTCCAGCCTAGGTGTCAGAGTGAGACCTCATCTCCAAAAAAACTGTTTTGCACCTAGAAAAAATGTTATTTTTCTTTTACTTTTCAGTGACTTTTTTCATTTATTAAGTTTTAAAATTTATTTTTAATTTTTAATTGACAAATTAAATTTTATATACTTATGGGGTACACCATGATGCTGTGATATAGGTATACCCTGTAGAATGATTAAATCAAGCCAGTTAACAGATCCATCACCTCATATACTTATTTTTTATGGTGAGAACGCTTTAAATTTACTCTTGGCCATTTTGAAATACATAATACATTATTATTAACTATAGTCATCATGCTCTGCAGTAGATCACAAAAATGTATTTCTCCTAACTGAAATTTTGCACCCTTTGACCAGCATCTCCCCAGTCCATCCACTGTCCTGCCCTTGGTAACCACTATTCCACTTTCTAATTCTATGTGTTTGCGTGTTTTGGATTCCACATATAAGTGAGATCACATGGTATCTGCCTCTCTGTGCCTGGCTTAATTTACTTACCATAATGTCCTCCAGGTCAATCCATGTTGTCAAAAATGAAAGCATTTCCTTCTTTTTAAAGTCTGAGTGGTGTTCCACTGTGAATATATACACCACATTTTCTTTATTTGTTCATCCATTGCTGGACACTTAGGTTGACTCCATATCTTGGCTATTGCGAATAGTGCTGCAATGAACATGGGGGTGAAGACATTCCTTTAACGTACTGACTTCAAATCCTTTGAGCATATACCCCAAAGTGGGATTGCTGGATTGTGTGGTAGTTCTATTGTTAGTTTTTTAAGGACCCTCCATACTGGTTTCCAGAATACCTGTATTAGTTTACGTTCCCACCAACGGTATGCAAAGGTTCCCTTTTCTCCACATCTGCACGGTTCAGTTCAGCTCCTAAGGGAGCAGTGACACCGGCAGCTGAGGAAGCGTCATGGATTCCAGCTTCACTGATTGTCCGAAAGCCAGTGGGGCATCCCTACATGCCTAACTTACTTGGCTGCTGGGGACCCTGGCTTATTCTCTCTTTCTTGTGTAGGCACCACTATTTGCTGAGCATTCCAAAATACCTGCTTGGTTGTTCCCGGGGAAAAAAAACCCAGGCAGCAGCTAGAGCTGGGTATTCTGCTCAGGTGACCAAGATGGAAGCAAAGTTAATGAGTGACAGATGCCACACCAGAGATGACATTGGGCGGGCCGTTGTTCCAGCCCCTTGGTTTCTACCTGGGTTTGGCAGAAAAGCAGCTAAGTCTTTGACTCGTTTGGTGTAACTTGGGCTGAATCCTGTTGTTATCTGTCAGCCTTGCTTTACAAAAACCTCATTTCCTAAGCTGAGTTTTCCATCAATCAGAATAATAAATCAGCCAAATTATCTCCATCTGGCTTTTGGCAGCAGAAAGCTCTTTAGGCTAAGAGAGAAAGGAAACCTTTATCTTCTTCAAAAGCTATAAAGCAGTCACATTTTTAAATGAATGTAAATTCAGTCTTTAAAAAATATTTTCATGCAAGATAGACAAATAAGATTTTAAACTTGAAATTCTGTAGACAGCATAGTGCAGTCATTCCAAGTTTGGCTGTCCTTGATGGTTAGGGTTGACAGATTCAGCGAATAAAATTACTGGAAGCCCCATTAAATTTAAATTTCAGATAAACAACAGACAGGTTTAAGCATAGATATATCCCAAATATCATCTGGGACATACTTATACTAAAAAGTTATTTGTTGTTTATCTAAAATTCCAATTTAACTATATGTCTTGTGTTTTATCTGGCAGCCCTCCTAGGGATTCATGAAAGTGCTTGAACTAAAGCCAGGTTTCCTTACTTGTTGTTCTAGATTCTTTTGGAGCATGCTATAAGCTTGCTGTGCTTCTTAAATCGATTTATTAGGTTACCTGTGTGGTACAGAGCAAAATCCAATTAGCAAGAAACTATAAAAAAGATATTGTCACGTAGAAGCAGAAGTTTACTGTGGGAAAGGAAAAGGCAAGAACAAAATTGAGTGTTTTGAGTTCAGGCTTCAGGGAGGGAATGGAGCAATGCCTAGCACAGATCTTGAGTGTAGTGGTTGGAAATAATATTCAGCTGTCACAACTCGGTCTGAAAGTGTGTCTTTCTATCATTCATTCTTGCCAGGTTCATGCCCTGTGAAAGGCAGTCAGGGAGTCTATTTTATGACAGTGGGCTGATTGTGGCCAGATGTTATTCTTGCTGTTTGCTACGTTTTATTGCTGTTATATTATCTTTAAACTATTGAACGATGACATGTAATGAAACTCCTAATATCCAGTAGTCAAAATCATTAAATTACAAGGTCTGCGAAGCCCATGTCCATCTTGAAAGCATTTTTCAATACCTTCCACACTTCTCTAAAGTCCATTCATTTATCTTAGTGTATTATAGCTAAGAGCCCTACATTCATGCTCTGAAAAAAAAAAAAAAACAACTTCTGGGGAAAATATGTTGATGTAGTTATTGTTTTCATTATCATACATCATGTTCACATTACTATGGGAAAGAGCCCTTTTCCCTTAGGGAAAAAAAAAAACAAAAACTGTCCTGAGAGGAGGGAAGGTGGAAACACACCAAATACAACAGCACCCTCCACTGGTCGCTAAAGGAAAGTGTGCTTTTGTGATGTGGACAGGAGGAAGTGAAGAAGGTCATCGTAATGAGCAGCAGATTCGGTTGCCGTTCGAAGCACAGGCGTTAGGGTATCAGAACATAAGTAAGTGATTGGAATCGGGCCATTTTTTAAAGTAGCAAGAACAATATAAAGAAGTGTCCACTGACTCTCGGTGCTGGGAACTGAGAACGGAGCTGTAAATCATCTCGAGTGAGTGTTTCGCTGTGACGTCATCGCAGAGGATGTGGGGTCCTTCACCATGATTACGTTTTCCCTCTCCTTTTTGTTGGAATAGATTCTGACAGACAAAAGCAAATTGAACTCAGATGCACTTCTCAGCAGTCTGGAGAGGAAGCTGGATGTGAGTGCTGACCCTGGAGCCACTGGCTCTGTGAAGGTTGGTTTGCTTTGGAGCTTGACCCAGCTGCACCCGGGCGTCACCTGCTTTTCGCCGCAGCCCACCTGGAACAGGGGAAGTGTCTGCTTATTCCGCAGTGAAAGCACTCTGTTACCAGTGCCTTCCACCTAGTGCGACTCCGCCGCTTTGGCTATCTTCTCTCATCCTAGAATTCTCACTGTGTCCTAGAAAGCCCCAGTGTTAGAGGTGTGAGGATCTTTAAAGACCATCTAACCTGACCTCTGCATTTTACACCTCATAAGTCTGAGGTGAGTCACTGGGTCATCTATATAGAAATATTTTAGTTCAACTAGCTGCAGTGTTGCTAATAACTAACTCTGTTTGGTGGCAACACCAATTTTTCAAAGAGATGTTTCATAAAGGACCCATTATAATCCAGGACTATCCAGGATGGAGGGCATCCAGCTGCCGGACTAAGGCTATGAAACAGTTTGCTTTATTGCTTTTAGGGTCTGTTTTATTCATGGAAATGGATGAAGTCACACCCCAAACTGATGAATGGTTAGTTTTGGTCTGTTGATGAATTATTCTTCCATAACATCGGTATGTGAAGTGGATGGTAAACCAGTATACCCAAGGCAAGTCTAAAATGGGGTTTGAGTTTTTCACTGGCTCCTAGAGATGCCATCAAATCAAGTTAACCTCATGGCCAAATTAATATGCATAACAAAATTGACCAACATTTTAGTATAATTAAGCAATGAGAGAGAAACTAAGAGTATCTCAGACACTTTATTTTTCTTTCATAGAAAGTTTCTAAGTTCAATTATTCCGAGTCTTAGGTTTATAAAATTGAAAAGCAACATGAAATAAAACCAAAGCAAAACAAAACACCAAACATGAGTTGACTCTCTTTAAAGGTCCTTAGAGCAACTTCACCATTTGAGCCATGCAGCCAAATGTTTCTAATAAATTGTGGTAAATAGATCTAAAGAAACTAAGTGTGTGTGTGGATGGTAGTCTCTCAGAAATCGAGTCAGAAATTGGTTGCCAAACCATCATCCTTCACCCACGCTGTTAGGTTTGTTTGTCACTACTGTTACTGCGGAGGTAGCCCAGGGGCAACGTAACCTCTGGTTTTCTGAAAGGTGCCGCATAGACTTCTTCTGTGACCAATTTCCATAAAGTTCGTTTAGCAGTTCAAACTTTATTAAGACTCTTGACAAAAACAGCTGCTAGAATTGCAAAGGAATGTAATAAAAAACATAGAGTCAGAAACAACCGGAGTCTATAAAAGCAATATCCAGAGTGGCCAAGTCCCCTTGGGGTGCAAACTGATCCCGGTCTCCATCAGCGCCGCGCGGACCTCCGTGGGACACCCGGGCTCGACTGAAGCGCACAGGCTGGAGGCTCCTGCCATCACCCGGCTGATAACCTAGTTACAGTCCGGGCAGGGTGCCAAGTAAAGAATAGCACAAGCAGGTGGGGCATGGAGTTTTGAAGTGTGAAGAAGCACTGGAGCAAATTCATTTTATGTTGCTTTTATTATGCAGTAAAAAAAAAATCTCCAACACATACTCATTTACAAAAAAAAAAAAAATGTTCAGTTGATTGTAGTTTCCATATTAGCACGAAGGGGCACAAACTGGTGTTAGCCAGAGACTCTGAGATGCATTTGGAAATCTTATATAGCAGGAATTCATGCTGACAATCCACTATTGTTAAGCTGCTCTGATGTGGGGACTCTTTGAAATACACTTCATATGTTATTAGAATGACCTCTAGACCGTTCAGGGAAATATAGGGACACAATCACTGGTATTGCTATCCACATAAAAATGTAATATTCAGAAAATGAAAAATTAGAAAATATAGTTTATTTTTGTGGTTTTGACTGAAATCCCAAGTGAGGCAGTTTGAAGAAGCTGGCGTGATAACGGAGGAAATGGAATCAAAAGTTAGTTCCCTCCCTTGGCCCATCCAACACACAAGCACAGAATGAGGAGAGGACCCTCTCTGGAGACCCTTGGAGTGCAAAATCGAATCTTCAAAGTAGGTTGTAGGAACAGACATTACCAGGACTGGCCAGTGAAGAATCATTTTGGAGGATCTTGGATGAGTGGCCATCTTAGTGTGAAAGCTGGGGGTACAACACCCTGTGTACCGTCTTCAGAGGATGGGATTCCATTTGGGGATATAGAGAGGCAATCATTCAAGATCTCCCAGCTGTACAGCTCCAGGCAGTACTTTTATTTGCAACTTCCCCTGCCCCCTCAATGTGAGTGTTGTCCCCTGGGTTGTCTAATGTGGTGGTCCTGCCATTCACTCATTCATTCATTCAACAAACATGTGAGAGCTGATTGTGTGTCAATCACTGTGCTAAGCAATGGGGATGCAGAGATGCACACACAGCCCCTGTCCTCAAGGACTTCAGAGATCAAACAGAGATAGACAAGGACAATACAAGTTCTATGTCAAAGTTGGGAGCACAGAGGAAGATCAACTAACTCAGATTGCCAGGGTCTGGAAAGGGTTCGAAGGTGAGGTAGCAGTGGACTGAGACCCAGAAATAAAGTCAAGTCAGTGGATAAGGGATGGAGGGTTTTTCAGGCTGAAGGATTCCTGGACAGTCTGGAGCATTTGCGGGGCACTGTGCCTGCTGAGGGAGGAGTGCTAGGTGGTGAGGCTGGAGCACGGGCAGGAGGAGGCTGTGGGGAGAGGCTGGGGAGGCCAGGGAGGCCCTGTGGGGTCCAGGGTGAGATGGCAGCCTCCTTTGCAGGGGGCTCCTGGCTTCTCCCCACTCAGCTTGCACTATGTGAGGGGACCAAAGTCTTGGACAGTGTCTGCTCTCCCCCCTACGTTGCTCATGTTTTATAAGGAAGAGTGAATGGCTCAGTTGTCCAGATTCACCAAGAGGGTCTCAAACTGGGTTCTATAAACACTGGTCAGTGTCCACTGCAGAGGGGCTGAGAAGATGCTGGAAGAGCCGTTTCCCTCACACGCTGAAGACACGATCTGTGAAGACATGAAGGCACATGTTACAGCTAAAACCCAGTTCCACTGGCATCCGCAGGACAGCACAGGCCAATCACAGCTGACACAGATGGTGGGAGGTGCTCGTGCCTCTCACGGTGATCAGAAACATCACCGTTGCAGGTGACGCCACTTCACTTAACACTGGGTGTGGGCGGATTCATCCGCTCTGAAAATTACGTCTTTGGTGGACATCAGCGTGGACTTGGGTGAGGACTCACAACTTTTTTGAGGGTTGTGTGTGTGTGTATGTGAATTGTTTTTATTTTTCACCTTTATTGAGATATAATTCATATACTTTACAACTCACCCATATAAAGTGCATAATTCAGTGGTTTTTGGCATATGATGCTATTCATTTTTTAAAATGGTGGTAAAATAATTTTTTTTTTTTGAGACAGAATCTTGCTCTGTCTTCCAGGCTAGAGTGCAATGGCGCAATCTCAGCTTGTTGCAACCTCCACCTCCTGGGTTCAAGCGACTCTCCTGCCTCAATCCCGAGTAGCTGGGATTACAGGCACCTGCCACCACGCCCAGCTGATTTTTGTATTTTTTAGTAGAGATAGGGTTTCACTATGTTGGCCAGGCTGGTCTCGAACTCCTGACCTCAGGTCATCCACTCGCCTTGGCCTCCCAAAGTGCTGGGATTACAGGTGTGAGCCACCGCACCCAGCCCCTTTAACAATTTTTTAAGTGTACAATCAGCAGCATTAATTACATTCACAAATCTGTGCAACTGTCCCCATATCTAGTTCCCAAATGTTTGCATCATCTCAAGCAGAAACCCTGCCTACTGGTTATTAAACAACGATTTCCCGTTCCTCCCTTTCCCTATCCCCCTCCCCTCACTAACTGAATCCACTTTCTGTCTCTGTGAATTTGCCTATTCTAGGTGTTTCATGGAGGTGGAACTATACACTATGTGTTCTTTTGTGTCTGGCTTATTTCACCTAGCATAATGTTCTCAAGGTGCGACCATGTTGGAGCATGTGTCAGAATGTCCTTCCTTTATATGGTTGAATCACATTCCATTGTACTTATGTGCCACATTTTATTTCTCCATTTATCTGTTGATGGACAGTTGGGTTGTTTCCACCTGTCAGCCATTGTGGATAGTGCTGTGTGGACATGGGTAAGTAACTGTTCAAGGCCCTGCTTTCAATTCGTTTGGGTATATTCCTAAGAGCAGAATTGCTGGGTTATATGGTCATTGTTTTAGTTTTTTGAGGGACCATCCAACTGTTTTCCATAGCAGCTACACCATTTTACATTTCCACCAGCAAGTATGAGGGCTCTAATTTCCCTATATCTTCAGCAATACTTGTTTTCCACTTTTTATTTAACTTTTGTTATAGTCATTTTAGTGGGTGTGAAGTGACATCTCCTTGGGGTTTCATCTGCATTTCCCTAGGCACTAATGATGCTGATTTGTCATGTCCTTATTGGCCATTCGTGTATCTTCTTTGGAGAAATGTCTGTTCAAAGTCTTTGAACATTTTAAAATTGGGTTGTATGTCTTTCTGTTGTTGAGTTGTGGGCATTCTTTACATATTCTGGATGTTAAACCTTTATCAGATACATGATTTCTAAATATATATTTCCCATTCTATAGGTTGTCTTTTCACTTTCTTGCTAATGTCCTTGGATGATCCACAACTTTTCCAAAGCAGGTAAAATAGCTTTTCTCCCTCTCTCCCTCTCCCCATCCCTGGCTTTCTTGCTGCTTCCCTTCTCTGTGAAGGCAGACAATTAAGTGACTGTGGGAAGGAAGGGGCTTTGATGTGCTGGGACACCAAGGGAGACTTTCTCAATCTGGCTTTCTCAGAGAGGCCCTTTCTTTCCTGAGGGTATCACCCTGCAGAATATAAAATTCCTCATAGTGAATTAATCATTTCCCATCTACAGAGGCTACTTTTCAAAGTAAATATCCCAATCATCTCTCACTCCTGGGTACAGTCCTAAGCTCTGCTCAGCCACATCTGCTTCTAGCATCCCATGTGTCAGAACGCCCACGTTCCGGGGCAGAAACTCCACCGTGCAATCACAGAGCAAGGCTGCTTCTAAGACCTTCATGTCTCCGCTGCTTCATAATGGGGAAGAGATGTGCCTGAATGTTTCAAATTAAGACGGGGTGTGGGAACCTAGTCCTAAAATGAAATGACGGGAACCTCAAAGCTGGGGTCATTGCAAAGTATACTGTTCATGTTTTCCATCTGAGTCCAAGACTGAGCTTGGCATTCTGCGGAGAGTAGTCCAGTTTCATTAATGGGGTCAGGACCACTCCCACTCCTGGAGCCCCTTCTCAGCTGGGTGAGTGCCCACACCTGCCAGCAGCCCTCCCCGTCTGTCAGCTGTCCCCAACTCCAGAGGTCCTGAAGGTGACAAGAACAGATTCATTCCCCAGGACTGTATCAGTGAAACTCGGCCAGGGCCTTGTGCTTTTTTTTTTTTTTAAACATTTATTATGGAAAATTCTAAGCACATGCAAAAGAAAACCTCCAGATTCCCACAGTCAGCTTCAACAATTATCCACGCATGGCCAATCTTGTTTCAATTTTACCCCCACCTTCTGCCCCCTGCTCAGTACCATTCTGAAGAAAATTCCAGGCCTCATATAAGTTCAGTCATACAGGTTTCAGATTATATATCTAAAAGACGAGGACTTGTAAATATAAAGACCCAAATCCATTGTCACATGTCAACAATATTAACAATGATTCCTGATCATCATCCCATATCCAGTCATGGCTCACATTTCCAAATGTCTCATCAGTGTCTATTAATGATCCTGTTTGTTTGTTTGAATCATGGATCCAAGAAAGATTCACGCGTTGCATTTAGTCAATATGTTTCTGATAACCTGTAGCTACACTGGGTGTTAAATAAGCTGAATCTGGTCCTTGGGAGAGGGGGTGGCAGGTAGTGTGTTCTGGAGAGGTGGACCTCATCACAGCAGAGGGCCCTGAAGTGGGTCTTCAGGAAATGTTTGCAGGAGGTTGTTCTCAGAGAAAAGTGTTAAGATGGAGGATGGAGTGGGGGGTTGGGGGAAGTTTAGGTGGGATATTTACTTTCTAGCATTTAACATTTTTATAGTGAGACTATATTTGTACATTATGTATGAAATTTAAAAGTGAGTTTAAAAATAAAGAAGAGAATAAAATGAAGACAGTGCCTCAACCAGGTTGGCAGGTTCTGGAGATGTGGCTTGGAGAAAGAGATGTACATGCAAGACACAACAAGAACAAGTAAGGCCCTGAGCAGAGAAGGCCAGGAGTTCCCTCCATCCTTTGTCTCTTCCTTGGGCTAGACGGACAGCAGAGAGGAGGACCTGGGCATTCTTTGGTCCTTGGGCATGAGCTCCACCCTCCTTCTTTTGCTAGACCTGTGGACATACCATTTTCTGTACATAGATTTCAACCCTCCACCTTACCCTGCTGTGATTTTTAGGATCCTGTCCCCCATGGCTCATGAGATATTGGATGGAATTGCAAGAATCAGATAGAGATGAAAAACTACTAGCTCTGATGAAAAATGCAGGACCGGCAGCCACAAGGGCTTTTTAAATTAAAAAAAAAAAAAAAACGCTTGGAAAGGTCAAACTCCCCATGAGCCTCAAGCACAGTCCTAGCTGCCATCCCCCACCCTGCTGGAGAGAGCAGGGCAGGACCCCTGACCAGGCCTGAAGATGGGGATCCCAGGAGAGGCAGAGGTGCGCTTGCCCTTACTTCCTTCTCCCAAATGAACCCGTTAAACAGAGGTCGCCATTCTCTGGGGAGGAGAGGGGAGGGATGGAGCGAAGCTGCAAGACTCCTCCCCAGCTTTTCCCCGGAGGAGTGTAGTGGAAATTTCATTCCCTCTTAGAAAACCTAAGGACGTAGGAATAATGCTGCCTCTGGCTTAGCCTCTGTGCTTCATTTAACGAACTGGAAATGTCTTTCGCTCTCCTGTGACTGAAAAGAGAAACAGTCTTTTAAATACCTCATCCCAACCACCATGCCACACCACCATATGGTTCTCTAGGGCTGACTAGGAGGGGTCTGTGTTCAGACTCTGCCCTCAGGGCCTGGGGATTTAGTGAGGAGAAACAGCATAGACTTTAAGGTGAGTGACTGAATGTATTTGGCTGCTGTGTGTCGTTAAGATAATATCCTAATGATGTAACCAGGAGACCAGCAGAAAGCCCCTGGTTTAGATGTTCTCTTTGGATTCAAAAGCTTCATTTCTAAGGCAAGTTGTCTCCAAATGGAAGATCCAGTACTGTTCTGTTGCATGTGGACAATGAAACACTAAATCTACAGCTGTGGAGATACAGATCCCATTGTACACAATTTTTTAAATAGACTCTATTTTTTAAAGCAGTTTTAGGTTCACAACTTGAGGGGAGAGCACAGAGATTTCCCATGCACCCCCGTCCCCCTCTCAGCCTCCCCGACCATCAGCATCCCCCACCCGTGTGAGACGTTACTTACAATGGATGAGCCTGCATTGATGCATCATTATCACTCAGAGCACATGGTTTGCATTAGGGCTCAGTCTTGGAGTTATATTTAATACATTCTATGGTTTGAGTAAATGTCTAGTGACATTATCCACCACTGTAGTATCACACAGAGCAGTCTCACCACCCTAAAGATAATCCGTGTTCCAACTACTCATCCCTCGCTCCCCTCAACCCCATTATCAAAAGACAAAATTACCACAAATATAGTTCAAAGATCGAATTGACTTTTACTTGTGATTCTAGAATCGGGCAACATCGCATTCTGTAAAGTAGAATGGGTGCTCCAATGAGATGAGCAGGGGCAGTTAGTTGTTTTTGTTTGTTTGTTTTTTTTGTGTGTGTTTTTTTTTTGTTTTTGTTTTTGTTTTGACGGAGTTTCGCTCTTGATGCCCAGGGTGGAGTACAATGGCGCGATCTAGGCTCACTGCAACCTCCACCTCCGAGGTTCAGGCAATTCTCATGCCTCAGCCTCCCGAGTAGCTGGGATTACAGGCATCTGCCACTACGCCCAGCTAATTTTTGTATTTTTGGTAGAGACAGGGTTTCACCATGTTGGCCAGGTTGGTCTCGAACTCCTGACCACAGGTGATCTGCCCACCTCGGCATCCCAAAGTGTTGGGATTACAGGCGTGAGCCACTGTGCCCAGCCTGAGGTGGTTAGCTCTATAGGCAGAAAAGGGCTGAGGAAATCAGAGATGGGACAAAAAAGCAGATTGGGTGCATCCAAGTTACTTTCTTTGTAGGGTTAAAACAGAGGGGACTTCCTTATTACGAGGATTCAGGTTGACTGTAATATCCTGGGTTTTTGGGGAAAACCGACCTGTTTCAAAGTTGAGCTTGATTATGTGGCGCTGAGCACGAGGGACTCCATTCTGGCTTGGTGTGGTCTGCTGGGGACTGGCTTTGTCCAAACCAACGGCCTCCTGTAAAATGTATTTACCACCCACTGGCTTTTCAGATCCTTGAGTTTTGACTCCTCTTTCCAGGCTCGGGCATCTTTTATGTCTTCCAGACCACTAGGGCTCTAGAGTTTCTATCTTTAGGCCTGGAGAGTTTTCTGAGAATTTCCATTCCCAAGGTTGCCCCTCACTTAGCCTGCAACAGTATCCCCTTTCTTTGTCTCATTAACTGCCATTGTAAGCTAATTTATTCATGTAAATCAAGGAATCAAAAAAAAAAAAAAGAAAAAAAAAAACCAAACATACCAACTGAGTCAGGTGAGAGCAGAGAAATAAAAGTGTATGGTAATGTTATGGTAATAGCATTTTGATTATTCAAAGAGCATTATTTTTCCCCAAGGCTATGAACAAAGGTTGTTAATTTATATGATGGGTAGTACTCTGTCAGAATATAGTTATTTATTTTAATTTTATAATGGCAACTTCTAGGGTTAAGTCATCTTAGGGCACAATTACAGAGGAATAACAATTAGTTAATTGAAATATGTGACTAGTATAAAATTACCAGTTTTAAAATCAGTAAAACATATGACGATCTTTCTTAACTTATACAAATGAAGACTGAAAGGTTGTGTTGTCTTGGCCAATGACCCAGTTGCAAAAGTAGAGGGTAATTCAACCTCATGCCATTCCCCAGTTCAAGCTGTGATGATGGATGTCCACTACACTTATTTTATGTTGACATAGAGTGGTTAACCTAAGCACAAATGTTTGATAATAACAGTGTATATAGCAGGCCTGGACATATGAGGCTTGTTCACTGTTTCAGAATTAACTTTTGCAGTGATAAAAGCCAGAGTTGTGGAGAGAGAAGAAGGAGAAGCAGAAGGAGAAAGAGGAGAAGAAAAGGAAAAATTCTTGGCATAAATTGTTCATCAACAGGCGATTTTCATTAAAACAAGGCTAGGATCAACTCTGGAAAGCTTGATAAATCCCTGATAAGGTGCCCAGATGTTCTAATGAACTTTGTTGGGAGTTTTGCCATTTCAAGTTTATGCGTTTTGCCCAAAGGCCAATGATTGGGATGGCCTCAGCATCTGATACTGATTCTTCAAAAAGCGCCCCCTCCTTGCCCTGGGACATTGAGTGCCTGCTGGAGAGGTTGCAAATTGGATCAGCCTAACAGAAACTGCAGTCAGGCCTGGAAGCAATATTCAGGCTCACTTTTCCAGGAATAGTGTTCCAAGAAAGAAAGGATTCTTGGGATCTTTTCACTGCCTGACAGTGATGAGTATGTTTTTCCGGACAGAGTGCAGGCTGCCTTCTAAGACCCCCAAAACATTTTCAAGTCTGCTTCTTGAAGGCCCGAACACAGAAGATTCACTCAAAAACCAATTTATCCACAGTTCTTTGGTTGATCTCAAGCAGTCTCTCTCCTGGAGGAACTTACTGTCCTATAGAGACATGTGCCAACTGTCGAAGACCGTGACGTGGCCAAAGCACAATAAGACTGTTATCTTTCTAAGGCTCCGAGAGCCTCAGCCTAAAGCTCCCATGTGGGGCTTGATGGCTGCTAACACCCAGGACTCTGTTCCCCTGTCTTGCACGTGCATGGGCTACTAGATCTACTGAATTCATTTCACCAAAGAAAGATTCGTCATCAGTTGTTCATCCTAATCTGATTGCTTAAATTTTGTAAAATTTACAACAAGGAAGAAGGAAATGGACTTGGAGAACATAACCAGATATCAGTTGCCTGAGCTACAAAATGATTTTTTAAAAAGTTGGTTCTCATTTGGAATCTGGTTCAAAATATAAGACCAAAGATATTCTATTGTCCTACAAAAGGGCGTCAAGGCTCATACATGAATTTGGAGATATTTTACTTCAAATAAAAGTATGTTCTGTCTTAAAAAAAAAACAAACTGATCAGCCTTCACTTGAAGTTAACTACAAAAAAAGGAATATATAAATAGCAGGATTGGCTGGTCTAGCCCACTGTTCTGAATGCCATATTGCTGTTGCATTCATTTCATACAGTAATAGGCTGTTAGATCTGAAAGGAAGCTTAGCCCCAGAATGGCAAATCACTTTCATTAAAAAAGCCAATAACAGTGGGTTGGTGGTGGCTGCCTGGAGCCCAGAATTGAGAAGGATTCTGGGTTCACGTCGGAGCCCAAGGGCGTGATCAATGGAAGATGTCTGTCATGGACGTGGACTTGGGGAGGGAGGGCACGCCTCATAGGTGCCAGCCTTCTTTTCTTATGGATAAGAAACCGGATGCCCAGAAGCCACTGACATACAATAAACCCAATGTGTGCTCCTGGCAGAGCTTAGAGGACAACCCCGTGTTTTCCCCCCACGTAGGGGAGCACACACCGCAAAGGAGGAGCTGAGTCAACCAGGGGAGCGAACAGCCGGCAGGGAGGACACGCACACGGATCAGCCCCGGCTGCACACACCACACCGTGCACTGGGGAGCTGGTATGGCCCCAGCCCAGTTTCCTGTCCACTAGAGGCCTTTCCTTGGCGGTGGATGGGGACTGGAGAGCAGGACTTGACCGAGCAGAGAATGAGGGAGGGATGTGTCCTGGCATATGGGAGAAGAAGTATTCCTTGCACGAGTGGCAGCGATTAGTCACACTTGGTTCTAACCATGCTTCCAAGCCTGGCTTATCTTTAACACCCAGTCTACCTCAAGACAAACAATATAAAGGAGAGAAAAACACTTTGGGGTCATTTAGAATTACTTGCATCACAGATCCAATGACAAAGGCAGCCATCGAGCCGCAGAGCAGGGAGAGGAGGCTGGGTGCCAGGTCCGCAGCTTGGCTGCCAGCTCCTCGCCTTGTGCAAAAAGTGCTTTTGTTAGACATTCCTTGTCAGGACTTAGAAACTGATGGTTTGTTCCAGAAGTTCTTTATCCTGAGATAGCTCTAAACTAGGTAGCTTGCCCCAAACAGTCAAAAAAAAAAAAAAAAACACATTAAAAATTGCAGCCTCTGAATTGAGCTGGCAAGAATAGTATATTTGGGAACAATAAAATTTCATTATGCTAATGAAGTAGCAAAATTTGAGGCCTAGAAGAATAATTTTAAAAAATTTAGCTGGATTCTAATGGAACAGAAGACCAACTGTTTCAGGACAGCAGAGCAAACGCTAACAAGTGTTCATGGGCGGAAATCACCAGTCTTATAATCTACTTGGTGGAAATGATGTTTCTGAATTCTGTTCTGAAATCTTAACAGAACATGGTTCCTCTGTTTTGGTGAACTCCTATCCAACGGTGGGGTGTTTCAGGTGTTGACAGCCAGCCATGTTCTGATGTGAGGAATGTTCCCAGCTCCTCTCTGTTCCCTGTGACCTTGGTTTAGGTTGACATCTTAGTGTGAACACTCTTGCCACCACGTGCCATGTCCAAGCCTGACCGACCCCTGCAGGCCCTGAAGAAATTCTCTCTTATGAAGCCTTGCCTCATAGTCTCACTCACTGAGGCTCTCTGTCCGTTGTTTGAACATTTGCCATTCCATTTGCCCTGCACTGATTTTTAATGCCACCCACGGCTTGTACAAAATAGTGACTTCGGCTACAGACCTGTGGTGCGTGAGCAGGTTTGTCCAAAAGTGCCCCTGGGGGCTCTGACTTTGCGTTGTCTGATAGATAAACTCTCTGGTACCAGGGGGTTCCCTACTTTTTTCAGTAGAAGAAGCTGCTCCAAACCTTGTTCCCTCAGGACTGGGGATTCCTCCCATTGCAGGAGGGACCACAGATTCCCACAGGTGCATAAATTCTCCAGGCTCAGCTGGGCACGGTGGCTCATGCCTGTAATCCCAGCACTCTGGGAGGCCGAGGCAGGTGGATCACGAGGTCAGGAGTTCGAGGCCAACATAGTGAAACCACATCTCTACTAAAAATACAAAATCAGCCGGGACTACATGCCTGTAGTCCCAGCTACTTGGGAGGCTGAGGCAGGACAATCACTTGAACCCGGGAGGCAGAGGTTGTGGTGAGAAGAGATCACGCCACTGCACTCCAGCCTGGGCAACAGAGCGAGACTCCGTTCAAATAAATAAATAAATAAATAATTCTCCAGGCTCAGGGTGGCTGATGTTCAACAGGTGTCTCATCCTGTAAAGAGCCGACAGAGCGAACCCAGACTGCCTGGCACCGAGCAGGCTGTCGATGCCCCCATGGACAGGGCTGCTTTGCTGTGGGGGTCCCTGTGAAGAGCGAGGCCTGCGTCCCCTCCTAGAACAAAGTCCACGCCTCAGGTCCTGCTGTGCCCTGGGCTGGCACATTGCCCTGTGGGGTGTCCGGAAGCTCAGGGGGTCCTGCGCCTGTTCTTCTTCTGTTGACCCGGGCACAAGTGAAGTCTCCTGAGAAATCCCGCTCAGGTCATACTGTGCAACTTCCAGACGTCCTCCTGCACCTCTGCAGACGGGGGGTGGAGGCTCACAGAGGGTCTCGCTGGGCATGAAGATACCCATCCTGTGTGACCACGTCTAATCTCCCCTGGTGGATCAGGGATGGTTTAGCCGGATGGGGCCATGGTAGCTCCTATGACCTGGTGAGAAAGCTGAGGAAGGGAGACTCGGGGAGATCCTGGGAGATCACAGGGTTACTGTGAAGGTCACAGCGATGAAGAAATGAAGGCTAAGGAAGGGGGCTCGGATGGCAAACCCACAAAATGAGACCCTGAAGAGTCCTGGTCCAGCCCCCACATGCACTTGAGCAAAGGCACTCACAGTCTCTGAGCCTCACCGATGGCCTGGAAACTCAGGCTTCTGCCCGCCTGTGATGCGAAGTCCTCCTCTTCTCTGCGTCCGCCGCCAGTCGCCCCTTTTCCTCGGCACCCTCTTCGCTTCGGCATCCATGAGCCCTCTCTGGTTTCATCCCGTCCTGCATCCCAGTGACTGTGGCTTTTCCCTTCTCCATCTGCCTCTTCCACCCTCTCCTCCTCTCAGGCCATGTCCCCTCCTTACTGGCCTGGAACCTCTCACTCTTCAGGGCCAAACATGCCCAGGACAGCTGCCACCTCTGGGCACTGTGGGCCAGCGCAGGGCCTGGGGCCTCCTTGGCATTTGCTGAATTTAATCGAGAAGAAAACAAAGGTATGTACCAAGCGAGCACCATGGTAAGGCACCACGCACTTCCCAGGGTATCCACAGGTACCCTAGGGACAGAGGGGCACAGCTGCAAAGGCGTGAGTGCCTGGAGAGCAAGGAGCTTCCTGCAGAGCAGACTGCATCACAGGCCTCCAACTGCAGAAGCGGAAGGAGCCCGGGGGCCCAGCTGCGGGCTCTGAAACCCATCACTGGCTTCCGCCTGTCCTTGGAGGCTGTGCTTCCTACAGGCAGCCGGGATACTGAGGCAGTATCCCTCCTGGGAAATGGGGAATTCCTCTGGTAGGCACTGTTGGCTTGAGAGCTATCTGATGGCCCCTCAGAAACATTCTTAGACTATGGAGTGGTCCGGAGGCCTTCCCCAACCCTCGCCCCCCTCTCTCCTTCACTCGGTCTGACTTGCATCATAGCCTGGTGGCTCCCCCAGTCGTACCTGGCTCTCCCATTCTTAGGTGTTTCCCCTTATAGTGCTTGCATATTTCACAGGTCTTGGTACCTGCATCTGTGGGGACCTGGACTAACACAGTGGGCCCTGCATCTGACCGGTGTTGGCAGACACAGGGAGGAAGCCTCACATGCTGACCCTCAGGGCTGGACAGGGATCTTGAACCCTGTGACAAGTCAGTAAATGTCTGTTGTTTCCCACTCCTGGGTAGTAACCACAGGCATGGCCAGTGTCTGTAGAGTGACCGTTAAAAATTCCTTAGACATGCCCAAGGAAAATGTGATAGAAAATAACAAGCACGCTCTGAGATTAGGGCAGGAAAAGGATTGATACAGAGTTTATTGACACAGAGGTATTCTGCTAATTATACAAGTCTCTGCTTTTTTTTTTTTTTCCAACGGAGTCTTGCTCTGTCGCCAGGCTGGAGTGCAATGGCGTGATCTCGGCTCACTGCAGCTTCCGCCTCCTGGGTTCAAGTGATTCTCCTGCCTCAGCCTCCTGACTAGCTGGGACTACAGGTGCCCACCACCACGCCTGGCTAATTTTTTGTATTTTTAGTAGAGATGGGGTTTCACCATATTAGTCAGGATGGTCTCGATCTCCTGACCTCATGATCCACCCACGTCAGCCTCCCAAAGCGCTGGGATTAAGGGTGTGAGCCACAGCGCCTGGCCAAATCTCTGCTTTTTTTAAAGCTGTGAAGACCCGTCTAATTAGTTAAGATGTATGGCAAGCATGTCACAGACATTTTTTCAGCTAGCTCAAGCCATTCTACTTTATAAAAGCATTCCAGGAGTACCTGTTAGGAAATTCAGATGATCAAATGGAGACTGTCAAGAATTCTTTCCAGATACTAATGCCCAACATCCACTAGGCACTCTTGGAACCATGACTGATTAGAATAATAATTCTAAGTTAAATGGTGAAAATGCTGGGTCTGCAGAGGAACGGGGTTGGATTCCCTCGGCAGGAGCTGACCATTTGTTCAGTGGGGTGTGGAACAGTTCATGGAAGTGGGGAGACGGGCACTGATCTAGCCACTTCATAGGTACAATTCTTACAGCAACGTCATGACATATTTATTATGATGCCCACTTTGCAGATATGGGTGCAAATGAGGCTCAGGGTGGCTAACTTTCACAGTCAGTCAATAAAATGGAACTCCATGTCTGTTCTGTCTAGTCCTCCCTGCATTCGTACTTCCAAGGGCCTGCATTCCTCCCACCAGATGAGAAGATGCTAAAAGGCCCTGCAGAGCACAGGCGGAGTCCATGCCCATCCACTTCTCTGTCCTTGGCACCCAGCCTCTGTCTGGCACAGACAAGATCCCCCGAAATGTTGCTGAGTCGAAGGGAATTGAGGGACAGTTTAATGAAGGGCCATCTTTCCAGTGTTTAGAAACCATGTTTGCTTATTTGTTTTTGCTTCAGCTTAATTTTCCTTTAAGCCTCCACCTGTGGGTCTCTGTGGTTTTCAAAGTTTAGACTAGTTCAGCAACTACAGGATTGCCCTGCCCTGGGGTGATCTTACTTCCAAAGAGCAGGCACAGTTACCAAACTCTGTGCCCTGTTCTTTGGTCTAGAAAACCTAGTCGCTCAGCAAAGCCGGTTGTCAGCCCTCGTGGTCTGAATTATACCCAACTGACCTGAAGGAACCCTGGTAGCCCTAAAAATGGAATTCTCTTGGGTGAGTGGGTCAATACCTCTTTTGAGTTGAATTTTCTTCCATTTCTTAGAAACGGCCTTTTGAGAAATGTTTTAAAAGTGTATCTTTTCTTAATACAAAAGAAATACGTTCATTATAGGAACATTAGATATGAACATAAGCAAGCAAAAGAGAATTTTAAAACACTCATGATTTCTTTTGTTGTTGTTGTTTTGAGATGGAGTCTCACTCTGTCACCCAGGCTGTAGTACAGTGGTGTGATCTCAGCTCACTGCAACCTGGGTTCAAGCTATTCTCATGCCCCAGCCTCCCGAGTAGCTGGGATTACAGGCACCCGCCACCACACCCGGCTAATTTTTGTATTTTTAGTAGAGATGATGTTTCACCGTGTTGGCCAGGCTGGTCTCAAACTCCTGACCTCAAGTGATCTGCCCGCCTCGCCCTCCCAAAGTGCTGGGATTACACCGCGCCCGTCCTGATTTCTTTTTTTAAACTTACCACAGTTATGACTATATAACACTCATGATTTCATCATCCAAGACTCACTGTTATTTACACCCCAGCACGTACCTGTCCAGCCCCTTTATACATTTGTCCCAAGTGCCCCGTAATGTTTCAGTGGTCCCTGGGTGCTGACATTGCTCTCCATGCACGCTGATGCTGGAGGTGGACATTTATGATTTTAAGATATTCAGAGCAGATATTGGTAAATATCTGTTTTACTACCTGTCAGAACATAGAGTGATAATCATATCTGGTTTTTTTGAGACGGAGTTTTGCTCTTGTTGCCCAGGCTGGAGTGCAATGGCATGATCTCAGCTCACCGCAACCTCCACCTCCCGGGTTCAAGCGATTCTCCTGTCTCAGCCTCCCGAGTAGCTGGGATTACAGGCATGTGCCACCATGCCCCACTAATTTTGTATTTTTAGTAGAGATGGGGTTTCTCCATGTTGGCCAGGCTGGTTGCGAACTCCTGACCTCAGGTGATCTGCCCACCTTGGCCTCCCAAAGTGCTAGGATTACAGGCGAGAGCCACCGTGCCCGGCCTGTAATATCTTTTTTTTAAGTTAAAATTATGTTGTGAACATCTTTCTACATTCACCAGTTATCATTGTAGCGGCAGGATGGAACTTCCCGTTCTGCAGGAGGTCACTTACTCACCAAGTCCTCTGTTCCTGGATATTTATGGTTGATGCTTTTCCCCACTCTTTTAAATTACAAACGATGCTTTCAGGAAAACCATTTTACTACATCTTTTTGTTTCCCCCCCTAGGATATATTCCTCAAAGTAGAATTTCCAGGTGAAAGGGGATGCAGATTTTTAAAGCTTCAAATAGTCATACCAAATACAGTTCCGGAAAAGTTGTTCTTACTCACATTCCCACAACATTGATGAGAGAGTCTATGTTCCGACGACAGGCTCTTGCAGCTCCATGTGTGGGCGTGTATGTATGTACGTAAAATTGCCAACTTGATAAACTATTTTATTTTTGAAAATTTGGAATCCTATTGTTCCCTGTTACTTTTTAAAACACAGCTGGTTTGCGAGAAAATAAGCCTATCTTCCCCAAGAAATGAATTCCTGGTCTTTGATGTCTCTGGCTGGAAATACCTGTGTTTTAAAATGTGAGTTTTATTGTTATTCGGGTATGTAAGGCCAACAGACCAGGAGAAGACTACCACTGAAGAGGCAGCTTATTACACACGGTTCCAAAGAGGAGGGGCGTGCCGTGTCATGGGGGCAATGAAAGCACCAGGCTGGTTGGGAGGTAGAGGAAGGGGAGAAACTGTGGCCAGAGGCTTCTCTGGGGTTTCAGCAGGAAGGAACAGGTAAGGAGGGATAAGCAGGCTGAGGATCGGCCAGGTGGAATAATTTCAGCAGGCTCTGGCTCATAAGACTGTTCCTTGTTGTCTGGTACATGGACCTGGGTGTATCAGGGAAGGTGGATGGTGGCCCAGAGCATGAGAGCCCCATGAGGGAGGTGGTCGGGGTGTCTATGAAAGGTGAGCTTGCAGGGAGTTGTTTATCATCTCAAGGAATTAACTAACTGGCGGTGTGGTGGGGAGGAGTGGGGAGGAGCAGTCTCTCCAGGGTCAGCCTAGACCCTGGATGTGGAAGCACCAAAGTATAGAAAATAAAGGCACGGTTCATACGGCATGCAGCTGGCTCACGGATGGTGTGCCTGAGTGTGCAAAACGATCTCGTGTCAAGTGAGGTGGCTCAGGCTGCTGTCCTTGTCGCTGCAAGCCCTGCTTGGAGAATGAAAGCTCACTTGTTGTCAGGGTCCTCCATGCATCCCAGCACCCCTGGGTGGGACCAAGGGCATGCTCCACCTTCTATCACGAGGAACAATTAGTATTAACAAGACGGCGCCGCGGAATGCACTTCCTAAATTGTGGACAGTGTTAGCAAATTCCTAAAAGCACCCAACACCTCTTCAAGGAGGAAGGTGAAGCCTTGTTGTTTAGAGTTCACTTTTTCTTTGTAACATATTCTATTTCCGAGATCTTTCTTATACATTTTATTTAGCCAAGGCTGTTTGCCAAGGAGTTTGCATCCACCCCACTGCTATTTGAGGCCATGCTTGCTGTGAGTTTCTCCGATTCCTCTCCCTGCTTCACCCACTCCTTCTGAAAAACACAGCTAATTGATGGTCAATTTGGCCACAGAAGCCTAGTATTGGAATTGTTGGAATACAGGAGGATTTGTGGACTAGATTTTTTTTTCTTCTTCAAGAATGACAAGCTAACCCCAAATTATGGCAAGAATTCTTCAGGTTCAATAATTAAAAGCAAAAGGCAGTCCCCACGGAGAAAAAACAGTGTGGTCTGGAAGATATCTTTCAAATTGAAGCAGACTGTGTAACTCCCAAATATTATGGATACAAATTAGCTATATTTGATCACTGGATCTTATTTACCCTAATTGTCTTCATTTCTGTGGTTTCCTCATACATTGTGTTTACAGCACACTTGGTTTCCCAGCTCAGTGTCGGAGTCTGGGCTGCAGGGATGGTGAGATCGAGCTTCAGAGTTGAGAAGAGGGGAGGGTAGACAGAGAGAGAAAGGGGAGAGAGAGAGTGTGGGAGTCTGGGCTGCAGGGGTGGTGAGATCGAGCTTCAGAGTTGAGGAGAGGGGAGGGTAGACAGGGAGAGGAAGGGGAGAGAGAGAGAGTCGGAGTCTGGGCTGCAGGGGTGGTGAGATCCAGCTTCAGAGTTGAGGAGAGGGGAGGGTAGACAGAGAGAGGAAGGGGAGAGAGAGAGACAGAGAGAGGAGAATGGGAGACAGAGAGGGAAGGGAGGGAGGGAAGGGAGAGTATAAGAGAGAAACAGAGACACAGAGGAAGGGAATGAGAAAGGGAAGACAGAGACATAAGGACAGTGAGACACAGAGAAAGGGAGGGAGAAAGAGAGGGAGCGAGAGAGGGAGAGAGGGAGAGAGGGAGAGAGAGGGAGAGAGAGAGAGGGAGTGAGAGAGGGAGAGAGAGAGGGAGCCAGAGACAGAGAGAGGGAGAGAGGGAGAAAGGGAGAGAGAGAGAGGGAGAGAGAGAGGGAGCAAGGTGGGGGCGAGAGAGGGAGTGAGAGAGAGGGAGTGAGAGAGGGAGAGGGAGAGAGAGAGGGAGCGAGAGAGAGCCAGGGGGGCCTTTTTTGGGAGATATGCTTTTCCTCAAAGACACAGAAGTCTTACACATTCAGACCAAAGATACGCTAAAAGCCAGCACATTGTGTTATGTGAAATGTTTCGCTTGTCTCTTGGAATGATTGATGTGAACCTGAGAAGAATTTGAAATTTGAGCAGCCAAGCAACCAGGAATTAAGACCTTATCTAAAATTTAGGCAAAAAATCCAGACCACTGTAGTTAAGAAATCGGGTTAGAAATCTCCTGAGAAGTGACTTTCCCACAAGATTTCTGCTGCTTTCTAGTTCTGAATGGATGAGAAATATGACAAAAATGTACCATTGCTTTTAGTATCGCCTGTCCCTTTTTCTGGTTTGGGGTAAAAGTAGGAAACCAAGAGATGCAAACAAACGGATAAACAAGTGTCCCTCCAGGGAGTCACTCTGGTGTTTGGGACTGCACTGGTTTGGATTTCGGGAATGTCAAAGGGGTTCTCTTCTCCAAGCTTTCTTTTCTGTTCCCAGAACCTCAGCCTGCAGCGGATGTGGCACTATTGTCACAGTGGATGCGACGGTTGGGCACTTGCTCCCCTAGGGTGACTTGACTTAAACTTCTGGCTGGTTCAGAGGGAAAACAAGACTGGTGGTCTTGATGGACCCAGTTTTTGTGGGCATCTGTTTACGCGGCCCTTGCATGCATAGCCTGCCCTGCAGAGCTGGTGGGCATCCCAGCAAAGTCCCAGAGCAGAATGGAGGGATCCCAGTGGGTGCTGCGGGGAGGCTGGCAGTGGCCTTGCTGTACTCACCTTTGCCCACAGCTGGAAATTAGTGCTTCATGTGTGAGGAGCATGTGTTTTCACTTCCCCTGCACCAGGAGTCTCCACACACCTGGGCGTGCATTTATGCTGTGGGACGTGGGAGCAGTGGGGACCATGTGGACAGAGCCACACCTGTACCTGGGCAGGAAGCAGAGCGGGGAATGTGCTTGGGAGTCTGTGCATCCATGCATGTGTGCGTGCATGTGCGTGCATGTGTGCATGTCTGTGCATGCCTGTGGACGTGTGTGTGTGCATGTCTGTGCCTGCATGTGGACGTGTGTGTACGTGTGCATGTGTGTGTGCAAAATGGGGCTGTGGTGATCTACTCTGCTAGATTCTAGGGGTTATAATTGACTTCAGGATGGATCATGAGTAGCTGGTTGCATCTCTGACAAGCTGACCATCCTGCACTGATCCATGCAGGCTATTTCTATGACAAATTGGATTTGCTCCCAAACAGCCCATTCTTGGGGAAATGCACTGCATTTCTTCTTTTTTGGGTAAATGATACGGCCTCAGATGTGGACTGGCTCCTCACCTGGCTGAGCCGGGCGAAGATGCAGGAGGACACGCTCTTCCTGGGGTGGCTGTGCTGAGACCTGCCAGGCCCAGCTCACTCCAGCTACTTCCTCAGGATGGGAAGCCCAGGTGAAGGAGGCACATCGGGAAAGTTTTGGTCATTTTATCTCTTTCCAGAGTAAAGCTCCAATATTGTAGATTCAAGGAAGAATTTTGTTTCATTTCAGTTGTGGGTTTTTCTACCCAATATAGGTCAGCTGGATCTCACAAGCTATTGTGGCTTCTAAGGCATAGCCTGTCGATTCTAAGGAAATTTGTATTGTTCTCCTCCATCAGAGAAAGGGGAGAGTTTCTTGGGGGAGAGGAAGCAAGAATTGCTAAGACTGGTTAAGGAAATGTCTACTCCAGAGTTTAGCTCTCCCATGCCTTTGGGGGACAGAGAATTCTATAAAGATCATGAGGCTTCCCAGAGCTTTCCATCTTTTTAAATGAGGAATTTGTTAAAAATCATCCATAATTTAGTAATATGTTGCTTTAAGATGGCAATATTTTAAAATAAATAACTCCATAGTAATCAATAAGCCTTCTATTCTTTTAATTGTTATTTGCTAGAAGCTTTTGCTGGACTTGCTCCATGGATCACAATTTATTATTTGTTTGGTGTATGAAAATAGTCCATTAGAAATTGTGTTAGAGTTCACTTTATAGCTCAGTATCCAGGAACAGCAAGAAATCTATTCACCTCCCTGTCTTCAATGCTTGATTAGTTCCAGCATTTCAGGCTGATAGCACTTATTTGGTTCTTGCTTGTCTCCAACTTGCAGTAATATAATCTTTTATAAAACATGTATAAAGATATAAAACATATCTTTCAAAGTTTATCATTTATAGCCTATAGATTGAGCCATCATAAAACAAATGATTTATTTATGTTCATTAGTCTTAATTTTAGATGTGTTTCTGCCACTCCGAAGCTTATTCAACCAATTACCATAAATGAGTCTGTTCATTCATTTTCCATGAAATGCACAGGCCCAGCACATGTAACTGCTTTAACTACTTAGCTATTAATTACATACTAACTACATAAATATGGAAAATTATCATACATGTTTTATGTATCACCCCTGAGATGTGCATGTCGGTTTGAAATTGAGTGGAGTTATATCAAAATTACATTTCACTTCTATGAATTCAACCTTACGTGTTCTGCAAAAATAAAAAAAATGTTAAATGCTGTGGTTGATTACACACTCTCATGCTTCACTGTGTGTCCTGGAGTGAAGCAGGGCTGGGGGCTCTGCAGGTGCCGTGCCGCTCATCAGCCACAAGTGGCATAAACATCCACGCACTTATGGCATAAACATCCCATGCGCTGAGTGTGAGCCTAGGGCTTAAAGAGAAATGGCCTCTAAACCCAGGCAACACCTTCATTTGGTGTTCAACCATAGAAGCAGCCAACACTTCTACCAATGAAGGAAATGACGAAGGGCATGTCCACGTGGGGCATTCTGAGGATGGTTCAAGGTGATGCCCTATTTCCCTCTTATGTTCTGATATGAGAAGCTACCCTGTGGGTGAGCTGCAACTCCACTCAAAATTAATGACAGATGGGTGGCATATTCAGCGCAATTTGAATTTCCTCGTTTCTTTCTCATGTTTACCTCTCTGATGTTTCTGTGAATCCTCTCCTGAACTTTAGCCTGCACTCAGCACGTGCTCGTGGCCAGCTGAGCAAACCCAAGGCGAAGAGATGAGTGTGTTGGA
The DNA here is from genome assembly GCF_000001405.40 of Homo sapiens. Lineage (NCBI taxonomy): Eukaryota > Metazoa > Chordata > Mammalia > Primates > Hominidae > Homo > Homo sapiens. Next base: position 2,471,707 of record NC_000006.12, read on the forward strand.
AAGTCAGAACAAAAGAGTCGATAGGGCGTGTCAGTCTCAGCGTGGCTCCAGGCAGCACCTTCCCTTGGCAAAAGCTGTTTTTGAAACAGAAAATAATTCGGTTCTGATCCATGTGCAATGCTTACAGAAGCAACCTGTGCCTCAAAGGTCCTCTTTTTTAGGGTTTCTAAGGAGGCAACCATGTCCTAATTAAACACTAAGTAGGCCTAACCTGACCACTGCTTTTCAGTTATACTTTTAAAAGAGCCATTTTCTGAAAATATACCCTGCCCTGAATTGAGCTGAGAATGGATATTTATCATTAGCTATAGCTGATATGCTGTGAAGGTAATTGCCTTCAAAACCTGAAGCTCCTTTAGTCATGAACCAAATGTTAAAATATAGAGTGAATTTAAAAATTATAGAGTGAATTTGGGCATTTCCAAGCACACACGATAATAGGTTTCCTTTGGACTGAGTCATCTGAGTTGACTTTTTACGGAATAAAAATGTAAGCAATAAATGGAGACTTCCCAATTTTCTCTTTATTGGATTCAACAGTCATCTGAATCTGAAGTCCCATTTGCATCGCTGTTAACCAAAAGCTGCGCCAACTTCACCTGGCCCTGCAGATTCTGGTGTACTAGATCATGGTGGCACAGAGATCTGAGGTCGGGTGATGGTAGTAGTTAGGCTTTGTGTGAGCTGGACCCTTCCCCAGGTCTCCAGGAGAAGGTTTCCAGTTGTTGCTATGGCCTGGCTTGTGCGGCACCACTGGGAATGCTGCTCATGGAATAGGATGGCCTTTCCTCCCTTCCCATCTCCAGGCCATCCTGCCATTGTCTGGGGTGAGGTCCTGCTGTAGGCACCCCGGAAAAAAAGAGAAACTCACAGACAGAATGCATGACAGACATAAAATGTGCATCACAGAGCAAAGTGGAAAGATTTCCACAGCTTCCATGGCTGTGTGTCTGTGCATGGATCTCCACAGGTGCTCTACTCTCCTGCCAGTCAGGTGCTCCGGGCTGCCTGGAAATAGGCCATTGGCAAGCGTTCATTAGCCCTAAAACATGGGACAGCCTTTTCTCTCTGGTTATAAGCAGCTGGAATTCCCCATTTTGTGGACATTGCTGCCTCAGGGTTTATAAGCTAGTTACTTCACTGTACTATAAGACCTTGGCCAACGTTAGCAGTAGCTGTCCTCTAAGTGTCCTCCCCTAGTTCTCTTCCCTCCTAAGTTATGACAAGAGCTACGCATATCAGAGAAGGGACAAGAGCCTCTTTTCTCCTAACTCACATTCTCGCTCCATCCCAAGACTCATTACATACATCTGGGTTCCCTTTATAACAGCAAAAATTATGCCCCTGGACATCTATGTAGGAGGAGAATTCATACTTCATCTTAAGGTCATGGAGAAAAATCATGTAGGGGGTGTAAAGGGTTGAAAAGCAATGCCTCTCCCCGCCGCTGTCCAACCTCAAATTTATGTCTACTTGGAATCTGTGAATGTGGCCTTATTTGGAAACAGGGTCTTTGTAGACGTAATCAAGTTAAGATGAGGCCATACTGGAGTAGGGTGGCCTCTAAATCCTACATGACTAGTGTCCTTACAAGAGAAGAAAGCTTGGACGCGCGCACACACACACACACACACACACACACACACACACACAGAGAACACCATGTGAACACAGGCAGCCATCAGGGGATGCTTTGCAAGCCAAGGAATGCCCAGCATTGCTGCAGCATCAGGAGCCGAGAGAGAGGCCCAGCACAGAGGATCCCTCAGGGCCTCTGGAAGGAACAGACCAGCAAACACCTGGATCAAGACTTCTGGCCTCAAGAACAGTGAGAGGATACATTACCATTACTTTAAGCCACACAGTTTGAGGTGATTTGTTACGGCAGCCTTAGGGGTTAGAACTGTGAATAAATGTTAGTAGCTCTTATTAAATTATCTATACTATAAAATGAAACAATACTGCTAGACACTAGTTAGGGAAGTTATCGGTGGTATTTAATGTATCTTACATTGGTAGTAGTGGGGACTCCACAATTATTTCCCACTTCTCATTCCTTATTCGATGGAGACATTTCAGGATTTTCCTCTCCATCCATTCCAGTGAGATGCCTGTGTCATTATTTTCCTTTGTGGCCGATAATGCAAAGTAAGAGGTGTTTTTCTCCTGGGTCTGCTTGATGTGGAGCAACCCCCCTGGGGTCCCCCACTCCCCACACACAAGGCCGCACGCCCGAAGAGCAGGATGGTTTTCAGGTCTGGGTTAACCCTGCCCCTTGGATTGCTCTCAAATCCGCGCTGGAAATTGACACCACATCTCTGTTGTGTACTTTATCTCCATTTCTCTTCCCAAACCCCAGTCTCCTCTTTTCTGTCTGTCCTGAACAGCGCTGGCCAGGAGGGAACATGGGTCAGAAGGGCAGGCAGGGAGGAGCTGGTACAAATCACGGCACCAAGACCCTGGTTTTTGGTGTACTGATGCAAATTCTGCCAAAGAGTTTTCACCAGTCTGCCTGGGGGCCTAAAAACATCTTCATCAGGGCCTTAAACCAGAGCCTTTCATTGGTCCAGAATCCCAATAGGAGAGGTGCAACATGCATACACACTCAGGAAATGATCAAAAAGATAAGTCTACCCAGAATGAAAATTAATACAATCACTCCAGAAAACTATTTAGCAATCATCTCCTAAAGCTAAACATACACATTATCTAAGATTCAATGATCCAACATACATGCACACAGAAATGCATACACCATGTTCAGCAAAAGACACGTGTATGTTCACGGTGGCACCATTTTCATAGCCCCCGATGTGGAAACAACCTAAGCGTTCTTCTAGAGTAGAATGAATAAATGCTGTGATGTGTCCACAGTGAAAAACTGTGCGTCAATGAGAATGAACATATGCAACAGCCTAGATAAATGCCAAAACATAATCTAAAGCAAAAGGAGGTCGACACAAAAAGGTACATATAACACGGTTCCACTTACGTAACATTCAAAAACAGCACAAATGGGACGATGGCATTAAAAGTTTGTGTGAAAGCTACCACTGGAGGTGGAGTGGCTGGGGCCGGGAGGGAGCTTGGAGGATGCTGGTCATGCCTGTTTCTTGATCCCAGTGCTGCTGGCGTAAGTGTGCTTCCTTTTGGAAGATCCATCCAGGTGTTCAACTGTGGGTTGTGCATGTCTAGCAATATTCACGCAGGCCAGCGTTGTTCAATGTAGAGTGTAGACCGCCAAAGAACCATGAGATAGACCAAAGACTTTGATAAGAGCTTTCCAGAAAAGCCCCTCAGATGTGTACAATCCTAATGGGCCGCATTGGAGCATGCATTACAGCACAGATCCTTTCCTTTCTGCGGCCACAAACATCCCAAACCTCGGAACATTCTAGTACATGGCACGTGGCTCCAGGCTGTGCTTGGCCAGACCTCCCCATGAGACCCCGTGTTGAATCAGTCAAACGGTGAAACAAATTATAATAATTTGAGGGGATGGACAAAGTTGACAACAGGGTTTAGGGAAATGGCAGGTGATAGTAACACTGGATGAGGGCGGCCAGTGGTTACAGGAACATGAAAGGAGACAGTGCTGTGGCAAAGGCCAGCTGGAGAAGAACTGTCACCTTAGCTCAGGGGACAAAGCCCATCAGAAGCAACTCCTCAGGAAGGAAGCTGGGGAGCAAATACCCTGACCTCACTCTCTATCACCAAAGCCAACTGAAAGTCAGAGGACAGAAGCCCACTGGGGAGGCCCATGCCAGGATGGGGGAGATGCAGCGTGGACCTGTGGGAACCAGAACAGAGAACCCCTGGCGCAGATGCTGAGAGTACTGCGCGTGAGGCCACGGAGAGCTGCAGCCCTTGGCCAGGCCCTCTGTGCCCTAGCTTTGAAAGTCTTTCAAAGCCTTTGAAAAATAGGTTTGTGTTTGCCTAATTTATTACCTTTAAATGTTGTCTTAGAAATGTCTTGATTTCTGACATGGTCGAAAAAGGGTACTTAGATAAGAAAATGAATGAATTCCTTGCACAGGGTTACCCTGGAAGAAAAATGCAGCAAGATTTGCTTTTCTTTTTTCTGATACCTTTTTTCTTGAAGTTTGCTAAATACAAATGTGACAAAATCCAAAACATGCAAAGTAGGATCAGGAGCAGTGGCTCATGCTTGTAATCGCAGCACTTTGAGAGGCGGAGGCAGGAGGATCGCTTGAAGCCAGCAGTTCAAGACCAGCCTGGGCAACATAGGGAGACCCCCATCTCTACAAAAAATACAAAAAATTAGCCAAGCATGGTGGCATATGCCTACAGACCCAGCTACACAGGAGGCTGAGGTGGGATGATTGCTTGAGCCCAGGAGTTCGAGGCTGCAGTGAGCCATAATCGCACCACTGCACTCCAACCTGGGTGACGGAGTGAGACCCTGTCTCTAAAACAAAACAAGAACATCCTGCAAAGTAGAAGTTGTTGAACAGAAGCCAGGGGGTGGGTGAAGAGACGACACCTGAAGTCAAGACAGGAACTGGCAACAACGAATTCAAGGGCAGGAGCTGGGTTCTGGTATCTGCCTTCTCCCTAAAACCCGCATGCTGCCATCTCTCAAGTATAACACAGCCACTCCAAAGCCCCAGAATCTCCGTGCACATTAGAGGGCTTTTCCTTTATTTGCTTTGTACTTACCTGAGACTTAATGATGGAGAAGAGACAGGGAGAGCACATCTATGGTCATAGTTCATGTACATTTAAAACATGATTTATTTTGGTGGGGATGACATAGACTCAGAAATGTGCCCACAGGAGCAAACAGCTCAATGCATTCCACACTGTGGACACACCCAGCAGCCATTAGGCTGTGACGTTGTCTGGAGCCTTGGGTACACTTGGCTGACCAGTTAGGCGGAGTGTCATGGGAGGGGCTGCCTGAGCCGCCCTCTGTGAATCAGCCCAGGCTTCTTGTTCCTGGTGCACTGGGAAAATGATGGATCCTCCTAGGGAGAAAAATTATCCCAAAAAAGTGCTCGCATAGAGTTCTGGAAAGGAAAGAAAAACAAGATAGTTAAGTGGGATGGCATGAATTGAAGATGATACAGGTAGTGTTAGGCCATAGTTTATAGAAATAGTAGCATATGGCCGGGCGCAGTGCCTCACACTTGTAATCCCAGCACTTTGGGAGGCCAAGGAGGGCAGGTCACAAGGTCAGGAGATCGAGACCCTCCTGGCTAACATGGCGAAACCCTGTCTGTTCTAAAAATACAAAACATTAGCCAGGCATGGTGGCATGCACCGGTAGTCCCAGCTATTCAAGAGGCTGAGGCAGGAGAATCGCTTGAACCCAGGAGGCAGAGGTTGCAGTGAGCCAAGACGGCACCACTGCACTCCAGCCCAGGGTAACAGAGCGAGACTCCATCTTAAAAAAAAAAAAGAAAGAAAAAAGAAATAGTAGCATATCCAGCATTTCTGCCCAACCTCCTTTACTCATCTGGAAGAAGCAGGAACTGTTAACAATGTCACGAGTAAATGTAGTTAATTCTAAGGCATGACTTGCTTGAGAGCAGGAATGCTAACATCAGGGATGGTTGTAGTGTCAAAAGAAGATGTGTTTATAGAAACTTAATTGAACCTTTAGGCTGACAATGGGCTTAATAAAAATGGCCTCTTTTTGCTACTTTATCGCATGAAATCCAGTGAAATGAGTCAGAAGAAAAGTGACCTAATACATATTGCCACTCCATCAAATTCACTGTCACAGGAAGCTGTGGATTTAATGATACTGACCAGACTTTACAAGTATTGGGTTCTTTTGGTCCATTAATAATATTTAGTGTGTGTAGTAACCACAGATGATGGTGAGCCTGGAATAATGAGCCTTCAGGTCTTGGGGCTTATCCTGCTTTCTGGTTATGTTTTCCATATAGGATTACATAATTGGCTAGCAAATGTATAATGGTTTGGATGTAATAATGGCATAGTCTGACTTCCTAGCGGGCCTGACTTTCCGAAAACCAGATTCATCCAAAAACTTAAAAACCAAATAAATATTCCTTCAAGTGATTAGTGCATTCCAGTTGTCATCTGGCTTGTAATGACTGGTTTTCAGTGTTCAGTGATGGCCCGGGCATAAAATAAATCTCGCTCCGATCCTCCATGTCAGCACAGGCATTAAAGCCCATAAACCATCCTCTGCCTAGTCTGTCATTGCCACCACGTTCTGAGTACTAGCTAATATAAACCTGCCCTGCCGGCCCAGCAGCCACCAGACAGACATTTTATGGTTGCTGTTCCCTAAGCCAGATGAAAATGATTATAAACTACAAGGGCTCTTTTGATATGACCTATTAATAGCCGTGTTATTTTTTGATGAGGGTAGCAGGGAGCCTTGGCATGGAATGGGTGAAGAGTGGGCACTGTCTCCCACCTCCCAGGGTGATACCTGGGGTTGCCCCGTGTGTCGGCCCCCAGGACAACACTGTGCCTCCATCTCCCACACTGCTGCTGCTGGCCTCCTTCTGTCCCTCCACTGGGAAAGAATGTTCGACATTCAAGCTATTCCAAGCAGCATCCTTGATGTCTCGTTTCACGGGTCTGTTTCACACCGTGGTGAGCGCTAGCTGTAACTCTCATATCTCAGCTATTTGTCTTGGCAGCTCCTCCTGTTTTGCTAACTGGACAGAATCAGGCAGAGGCGGCCTCCCCTGCACACAAGGGAAGGGGTGACATCTGTCATCCTCTTCTGCCTGCGGGACGCCCACAGAGGCCTCTGGGTAGGGCCAGAGGGTGAATGTCCTTCATCTTTCTCTTTCTCCCTCTCTTAGCTGTAAGGAAAATGCTGAGGGAACGATTTTGCTCACAGCCTTTAGGGCAGACATTGAAGCAAAACAGATGAGGAGGATTGGCAGGGCTGACTCAGCAGTGGATACCTGGGAAGGAGACCCAGGGCTCCCACCTGCCACGCTGGCCACCCCTGGCATGAGTATGCACTTTGCACTCTCTCCAAGCCATGAAAGCACCTGCATGGGGGGTGGTGTGTTTTCCTCGTGCCCAAGTGCCATGGCACCCCAGGCACCACCCAACAGGGCAGGGGCATTAGCCCAGGCAAACCTTTCTCATAAGTTTAGATCTCCAGGCTCATCAAAATGGTTGAATACCTCCTGATGCCAAGGGAAGGAGAATGGGCCAGGGGAGGCAGAGCTTTAAGGTAGAATTTCTTCTGAATTAGGGATAACACTGACTATCAGGTTGCAGAGTTTATAGAGTAATGAAAGAGGATTCAGAATTCGGAGAATGAGTTCTAGTCACGTGTCAGGTGGGAGTATCCATCTCACTATTGGCTTCTGCTGAGGGAAGTAGGGATGAGAAATTGGCTTCATCCAAAGTTGGCTACCATATTTCTGTGACTCAGGGCTTGTGTCTGGCACTGGCCTTCAAGAAATGTTAGCTCAATTGGTCCCAGTTTGGTTTCTTTGTCGGCCTTTACTACAGATGTGCATAGTGGAACACATGTTCTTCTAAAAGTCCTCCAGGGTAAAGTCCTCCTGTTGTCCTTTGGACAAGTTTGAAACATCCTAAGCAAGACGATATTCCATGGATACCCCTTGCTGTGGCCCTCTCATGACTGTTGTGTCCACATGGTACTGGGGAGAGCTCAGCCTGTCCTTGGGCCAAGCAGGACGGAGTCAGTGACAACAAGGACAGGGCTGGAGTCGAAGAGAAGACAAAAAATAATGTGTCAGAGTGTAGAGCATTTGTCTCTGAGGACGGGGTCAGAACAGTCCATCCTTGGCATTCACATGACATGGTTAGAGATTTCGACCCAAATAGTTATCTCTGTGAAGGACAATGTCACCAAGGATCTTAACAAGTGGTCACTGAAAGCCAAGGAAAGGGTGTCACACTATGGGGAAATTAATTTATTCTGGAAAGGGTGTCATACTATGGGGAAATTGATTTATTCTGGAAAGGGTGTCACACTATGGGGAAATTAATTTATTCTGGAAAGGGTGTCATACAATGGGGAAATTGATTTATTCTGGAAAGGTTGTCTTACTATGGGGAAATTAATTGATTCTGGAAAGGGTGTCATACTATGGGGAAATTGATTTATTCTGGAAAGGCTGTCTTACTATGGGGAAATTAATTTTTAAAGAAGCCACAGAGAAATGACAAAATAGATCATGTGTAGGCACTTTTTGGCAGTGTTTTGGGGCTTTCCTTGCCTCTATAGGGACCTTTTCTCACCTGCTCCCTCGTGGGATGGTTTTGGAGCTGTTTCTCATTGGCTCAGATTCATTTGCCAAATGGACTCTTAGCTTCACTCCTCCACTCCTGCCCACAGGGTCTTGAGAAAGTTGTTTCACCTTATTGAGCCTCAGTTGAGTCGTCTGTGAATAGGAAGAATCTTGATTACCTCTTGGAGTTCCTGTTATACATAAGTGACAGAATATCTAGATAAAATGTGTGCAATTGAATTTTCTATTTTGCATCAGACTCTTTTTGTTTAGCAAAATAGGAAAATGTTGAACAAGAAAAACCTCTTTATTCCCCTCTGCCTCTTACATCGAAAACTCTTAATTTCTAGAGACAAACACTTCACAGTTTCCATTGTAGCATATTTCAGTGTCTTTCATCACGGACAGCCAGAAACTGTTATCTAGTTCATAAACCACGCACTTCCCTATTTGGCAGGAGTGAGCAAAGGGCCAGTTGCACCAAATAGGGATTTTATTGTTGCCTGGAGAGCGTGGCTTACATTTTGATGAGAGAAGACAAGGAACGTTTTGGAGCATGCTTCCCAGGCTCTGGAAGGACAGCACAGTAGAAGAGGGGCACCCCCAGCCCTGAACACATCACAAGTGTGTATCACAGATGTCCAGGGCCTTGGCCTGGTTCCATACAGGCACTGTCCAGGCAGCCAGCTGAGGCTCCATGCCAGGTCTCCACTTCCTCCTCCAGGCATGCTACCTCCTCATCCCTTTCAGCAGGGTCATTTAGGGCTGGTATGCTGGCTTCCCTGTGCAAGAATCGCCAATTTGCCACTCTTGTCACTTTTCCCTTGTCATGTTCTGTCTGTCTCTCACACACAGACACCTGCCCTACTGTTATTTAAAACATTGCTTTTGGCACTTTCCAGGCCAAGCTATAAATAAAGGGTGGACTGACCTTGTCAACTGTTAAATTGGAGCCGTGGTGCGTTGCCTAGAACATTGCGGATGACCCCGAGCAGCACAGCAGATCAACGGCTGAGAAAGAGCTCATTCAGCTCATCTAACTAGGATGCTGTCCTGCCAGAGCCCTGGGGGTTCTCGTCTCCTGGGGCAAAAGCAGCATGCAACCCTTATGAACCCATCTTGGAAGGCATTCGGGGAGCCCAAGACAAGACCATTGGGAGCCTCAGGGTCACTTGTGGGGGTCTCTGTGCTGGACGGCTGTACCTCTCATGAAATGGACAACTGACCATAAGAAGGAGGTAAGTTACGCATGGACGGGAAAATAAGAAGCTCCTACTTAGGGCTGTGATATGTGCGGTAACCATTTAACGTTAATAGCATCCATGTGAGACAGGTGCTAGTACTGCCCCATTTCATATTGGCGGACATTGAGGCACACAGACTGTATGACTTGCCCAAGGCTGCCCACCTGGTTAGGGGAGCTCCAGGATTCCAATCCAGTCCGAACTCAACACGAGGGGTGGCACCTACAGGCTGGGGTCAATCTGGAAGACTGCCTGTTGTATGGCCTGGCAACTAAAAATTGTTTTTTACATTTTTAAATGGTTGACAAAATTAAAATAAGAGAATATTTCATGACATCATCAAATTACACGAAATGCAAATTTCAGCATCTACAAATACAGTTTGATTGGGACACAGCCACCCTCATCCGTTTGCAGGCTATCCCTGGCTGCTTACAGGGTCCACATAGTCCATAAAGCCTGAGATATTTACTATCTGGCCTTTTACAGAAAAAGTCCCCAAACACTAATCTGAAATGTTTGCATCAGAACCCCTTGTGGGGCTTGTTAGAATGCAGCTCCCTGGTCCCACACCCAGTCTCTGATTCAGTAAGTCTGGAGCAGGGCCTGGGAATTTACATTTCAAAATAATTTCCCAGGTGATGCTCATACTGGTCCACAGACCACTTTGAGAGCCACTACCCTAAACCCCAGTGCTCTACTGCTTGTTGTCAGGATGGCTGGGTCAGGTGAGAAAGAAGCCTAGACATCCCTAGAGCCACCTGCTGTGCAGCCACCTTTTGAGAAAGTGTCCCCAGTGATCTTTTCCCAGGTTAGCCTTTGTGGCTTGGGCATCCAGCCTTTCAGAGATATGAAACCACACACGTCTTCAGAGTGAACAGCTGCTCACCCCGATGTGCTCAAGGGGTGCAGGATGTGGACACATCCTACTGAATGAGCCAGACAACGTAACTGGATCTGTCCAGAACACCACGATGGGTGACATTGCCATCTGCAGCAGTGCTGTACTTCCTCCCGCCAATTTGTAAAGTGCAGACAGGATGCTGGATCAACTGGCTGCTGCTGAGGCCAGTGACCTCTAGGGCGTATTCCCACGTTCCTTTGCAGTAGCTGCTCACCTTTGTAAGCATGTGAGTTATTCGTGCTGTCTGTTGTGATCCTAAGGAATCCAATGGTCAGGACCAGAACTTCTGAAGTACAGCCCAGCATTGCCGTCTGGCATCCCCAGAAAGCAGATTTTGAGATTGGCATGATGGCCGTTAAGCAGGGCGTTCTCTCTGGAGCAATGTCTAGCCGGGGTCGGAGTGGGGAGAGAGAGAGGGGGGCTGCTGAGAATATCACAGAGAGATGGCAGCCTTTCTGCAGCATAGGCCTAAGTGCACACTCACCTGGCTATCACTGAGAGGACTCTCTGTTCAACAGGGCCACTCAGGGCTTCCCCTGCATGGAGATCTGAGTGTCCAGGGAGGGGACGTGGTGAGCATTTCTCTGGTCAAAGTGTGCAAAGCAAAATCTGCCCCATTCCTGCCAAAGTGGTTGACATGGAGGAAAGGGGAGTGCCAGTTCTGTAGGCTGAGGTGGTGGCTGTTAGAACTGCTCCTAGGCTAGTTGGTGTTCTGGAAGGTTCCCCTCTATGTGAGATGAAAGAGCATATCTTTAAGAGCTGCAACTTTGAAGCTCTAATATAGAATGCTTTTGGTGGCAAGCATTACTTCGGAAAGGGCTTGAAGACCCCTGAAGATCCTTGGTGGCCTAGGCAGTTCCTTTATTGCCAGGGCTGTGCAGGACTAAGCTTCAACAGCGCCACCATGTGACAAGAAGCAATTGCAGTGGTGCATTGAGGGTTTTCTTTTGCACTGAGAACTCAAGTCCCACTTTCACCCTTGGACCTGGTAAATCTTTGGGGTTCATGGACAATTCTGAGGAGGAGATACTTAAGAGAGTGATGTTAGAATTTGATGTTTTGGTTTATTGTATCAGAAAATAAAAGAAATTGGATTTATAGCTCAGTTTGTGGTTCATATCAATTTAAATAGCTTTGAAATGCTGATAGGACCATCACGGTTTTTTGGTTGCTGAAATCCCATAACTAAAGCAATGCCTCAATAAGCTTTTAATCCACAGCCCCCATGCCCAGGTCTATAACAAAGTTTTTATATGCCTATGGGGAAAAACAATTATGAGGCAAACATTTATAAAGTTAAATTTATTACGTTTCTACTCCTATTTTTTATTCTGCTGGTGTATTGTTATATATTTTCCTACATATTTAAACATTTTCTTCCTCTTATAAAATGTTAGTGATTTTAAATGATGGTGTGTCCGGAATTGGTTCCTTCTGGTGGGTTCAGTCTTGCTGACTTCAAGAATGAAGCCACAGATGCTCACAGTGAGTGTTACAGCTCTTAAAGATGGTGTGTCCAAAGTTTGTTCCCTCAGATGTTCAGATGTCTCCAGAGTTTCTTCCTTCTGGTGGGTTCGTGGTCTTGCTGACTTCAGGAGTGAAGCCGCAGACCTTTGCAGTGAGTGTTACAGCTCTTAAAGGTGGTGCGTCCAGAGTTGTTTCTTCCTCCCAGTGGGATTATGGTCTCGTGCAGACCTTGCATTGAGTGTTACAGCTCTTAAAGGGGGCACGGACCTGACCATCCTGGCTAAAATACAGTGAAACCCCATCTCCACTAAAATTACAAATATTAGCCCGGAGTGGTGGCAGGTGCCCATAGTCCCAGCTACTCCGGAGGCTGAGACAGGAGAATAGTGTGAACCCGGGACGCGGAGCTTGTAGTGAACAGAGATTGCGTCACTGCACTCCAGCCTGGGCGACAGAGCGAGACTCCATCTCAAAAAACAAGAACAAAAAAACAAAAAAAAGGCAGCGCAGACCCAGAGTAAGCAACAGCAAGATTTATTGCCAAGAGCCAAACAACAAACCTCCCACAGCGTGGAAGCAGACCCAAGTGGGTTGACACTGCTGGCTCAGGTGGTCTGCTTTTAGTCCCTTATTTGGCCTCACCAACATCCTGCTGATTGGTCCATTTTACAGAGAGCTGATTGGTCCATTTTACAG